>NC_000004.12:110891077-111042593 GCF_000001405.40 Homo sapiens | reverse complement strand
TGTATTCTTTCTTTGGAGTTTGGACGTTTTGTCTTTCTAGGACATTGGCAATCTGCTATGAGTATAATAACAGACAAGAAACACAGGTACTTGAGGTTCTTTTTTAGAAGATTAATTCAATCTTCTTTAGAAACAAGTACTAAGTAAACAGTAGAGGATATTGCTATAACTTCTGGAAAGTATTTGTGCAATATAACTAATACATAAATGATGATATTATGACTGTATCAAAAAGAGCATGTTTAAAAATTTTAAATGTCTAAACACACTCTAAATAAAGAAAATTAAATACTCTAAAATAAAAACTAATTCATTTAACTCAAAGCATTTGTTATTAGAACAGACAAGGTATTGAAGAAGTGAAGAGGAATTTAAATGTGAGGGTGAGAAGCAGTCCCCCTTACTTCCAAGTCCCCCACTCCAAATCAATTTACAACAGCCCTCAGGACAAGAAAGGAGTCTCACTGCCTTTTAAGTTAGGGCAGCATAGAATAAAAGACAAAGAAAGTTGATGCAGAATAATTTGCAATTTCCTGCAAAATGACTCCCATGAAGTTTAAAGTCATCCAGAACTGCAAAACTGATCCCACAGATCAAATAAATATGAGAACATTTCAATCTTTAACTAAACCATGTTGGCTTTTCATTCCAATAAGCAGCCAAATGGATGTCTGCAAGCTAGAGGAATTTTAAATAATTTTTCACGGGAGCGACTTTTTAAAATCTTCTTTTCTATAATGTTTTCATTAGCTTTTGAACTATAATAGCCTAAGAAAAAAAATCGAGAACCATAAAAGATATTTATAAATTTGTTAAAAATATATCTGAATACTTGTTATCTGTCTATATATTATTTCAATCCTAGTGAATGTAAAATGCTGTAGAGAGAAGATTAATAATCCCTATAGTGAACTGTGAACAATGCAACAATATATTGCTAAATATATTATGCTATATCAACTATAGTTATTCTTGGATGAGAAAAATAAAAGAGGCTGGAGAGCTTGAGAGCAAAGAGATGAAAACTGGGCTGCCTTTGTGTGAAAACAGGTGAAGAGGAAGAAGAACACAGTACAGGTAGGCAAGTCACAGGTGAAGAGCTGAAGTTAATGAGTTGGGTAGAGGTACCTGTATGTTTGGTGGGGAAGGCTTGGAAAAGATCAATTTTAAGCTATCGAATAGAGAAAGGGAATGGTGAATAGCCTTTACTGAGCACTTCTAGCTGCCATGCAGATACTACTTTAGATGTAACCTAGCATTTATTGTGCTCTTTCTGTGTACCAAACACATACTCTGTTGATCAGTGTATTATAGCAAGGGAAATGAGGTTGAAAAATGATCAGATTATGGAGGTTCTTTAAAAATATTGGGCCATATCATGAATCACATAAAAATAACTTTCTCTTACCTGACTTCTGAGTCAGAATCATGCATTCCTTCATGGATGAGGTTATTCATTCCTTCAGTCATTCCTTCCATGGGCATAGAAGGAAAAATGACAAGCAGTTTCTGCCCTCAGGCTCTCCCTCCCTCCCCATTCAGTTAAATGAAGAAAACAGACAAGCAAACAGACATGAGCACAATGTGTTTAGGGCTATGTGAGAAGTATCTGAAGTCCTGTGATGTAGCTAGAGGAATTTTAAATAATTTGTATCAATTTGTTCAAATTGGGTAGATGATATAGTCATTGCAAGATTAAGAGATGAATCTGGATCACAGAGGCACTCTAAATTCCTGCATCTCACATGGGAGTGTAAAACATCTTGAGGTTTCTATACCAGAGGCGTAGGGTGCCACATGAGGTTAACTTATTCTCCTAACATATATTTGTTTAGCACCCATTCGGTGCCAATCACTGTTCTGGGCCCTCCCTACCCATGAGAAGCACTCAGATGCTGGAGCAGGAATCAGATGATAAATGATCAACCAGTGAATAGATTATAACCTATAATAACAGGATAAATGTGATTTATATTTTTAGATTCACACTTTTAGCAAAGAAAAAATAATAAAGGCAAGAATGTTACTGGTATTGAATACAAAGCATTACTTTTATATGAAAACAACCACAGGCATATCACAGAGCAGAATGCAAAATCTGCATGAATGTTTTGGATGAAATATAAGATTTCAAAATAATTTCACGCTGATATCTGAATACCTCAGAATCCTGTTGGTTAAGTTCTCTCTTTTGGCTTTAAGGGATATATTGTTGAGTAAGTTGACATAGCCCTGATCAGAATTAATGAATTTATTTTCCCACTGTTTAGCTGGACCACCAGGTATCGTCACAGAATAGATATCTCTTAGATGACCTATAGAAAAAATTTATGAGAATTTCTTATATCTAAAAACATTTTCCTCCAAAAAATTATTTTACTCAAACCTACAGTTCTTATAGTAATATGATTCCCAAATAATGTTGGTGTTATTATCTTTACTACAGAGGGTTCTTACTTTCCAAAGCCCAATCTAGCTTAAAATATATTCAAGCTTTATAAAAATTGAGTGATACCTCAGAGTTGCATTGTTTGTAACTGTTCCTATGTACTTGATAACATGAATTAATATTTGAGATGTAGTACTCTTCTTGAAGAATACATATGTTAAGGTCATCATTCATTTTCTAGTAAATTTTCAAATAAAAATGCTTTATTGATAATTAAAAATTATATATCTCAATTTGTATTATAGCCTTTTCTATTTCAACCGTAACATGTCTATGGTCTGCGAAGGAGGTGAGGAGAATTGGGAATTGGGATGTGGGAGAGGGGATGGAGGAGACCCCTCATGGCTGGGAGACTGCCAGAAGAGACCTAGTGCAGCTGTCATTTAACACCTGTCCTCTTTTCAAAAGTAGGGGGTGGCATTCTTATAGAGAAACCAGAGAAATACGGATTAGAGAAAACTACTAAAAGATGGATAGTCTATTGTTTCTGATCTTTTGGGCACCAGAATAATTGCTAATAGGCCAATGTCATGTTTGGAGAAAATGTACATTATACACTGTCTTCTCCACCATATGATTCAATGATGTGTTGTTATAAATTGGAAACACAATCCAAAAGATAACCAAAAAAATTCTTAATTATTGTTTACAAGCAACCAAAAAAATAAGAGTAATTATAAATACCACTGAAGAGAGATATTAATACAGAATGATTTTTAATGGATTGGAAAAAATAGCTTGAAATCAGATATAAAATAATTATAGGAAGGAATCATCTGTTCATATTAACGCACAGGGAGTTTAATAGTACCAAAGGCTCTGTCTGGTGCTAGAGATTGTGGGCAACAAACTTAGCAGGATTTAAAAAAATCTATTTCCAATAAAGGCAAAGACTTTAATGCACCTAGATTTTAGGCGGAATGCATAAAGAAAGAACGCACTTTTACTGCTTTGAGTTGCTCCATTTAGGCCTACTTGAGTGTTGTGTTCTGTTTTGGATATCATACATTTGAAAAGAAAGACAAACTGGAGTAAGTTCAAAGGAAAGCAAACTGAACTGATAAAAGGTTTGGAAATAAGACAGACCTGTGAACAATGGGCATGTTCAGGCTAGAGGAGAAACAATTGAAAGTGAGACATGTTAATTGTCTACAAGCATTTAGAAATATGTTATGGGAAGAGAAAGGATAAGTTATGTTAATGATTAGGAAAAGAATAAGAAACCATAAACTTACCATATTCATGGGAAGTGCTTGGAATAATTTATTTATTTATTTTGCTCTCAAGGTAATTTATCTAACTTTCCAACTTGAAATCACTCAAGTTCAAGTACATAGACACAAATGGATGTGCTTTTAGCCCTGAGGGTACAAAAAGACCACAAATCAATGTTTGTGGGTAAAAGCTGATTGAAAAGAAATGTGTATCCTTTACCTTTTGACACAAGTAGCCTGAAGTGATCTGTGTGACCCCGATGCCATTTAAGATACCTCAGAGTGACAGTAAGTTTTAGCTTATTAGGGAGAGTTAAGAAAGGAAAAAAGAATGATTTTCCCACAAAACATAGAGACAATTTGAAATTGGCTTAGTGTTTCTATAAAAAAGATCTTTACATACAGACGCTTCTAGAACATACTATCTGGCTGTGACCACTAAGTAAGCAACAATTCCCTTTAACCACGCAGCATTCCCTAATTTCCTTTTGCCTGCTTTCCATGACTTTCCCAGCAGGCATGTGGTGGTACAGGGGGCAGGAAACTGAGGGAGTATAAAATTTTTATAATTAAGGCTGGATTAGTAGTTAGAATGCCCAGCCATCCAAAGGCTGAGCAGCAGTTTTGATGTTTGAAAGAAGTGTGTAATGTTGGATTAAGCTACAAGTAACCAAGCATTTTTTTTTTTCTCCAAGTAGGCTTTGATGTTGGGGGTCGAGTGGGCCCCTTGCCTCTCTGCAGTTGCCTCTGTGCATTTCTGATATGGTGCTCCGTGTTCTAATCCATTGTAGCAGAGTCCTTGAACCAAGAAAAACTGACACTCATTCTCATTAATGGGTTTGCCTGGATTGCTTTTTTTGTTATTTCTCACTGCTTTTTTTTCTCACTTTCACATTTTCTAGTGACTTTGATTGATCTGATGTAATCTCTTTTTTCCGCTTTTTTTTTTTTCACAAAGCATGAAAATTTCCCTGCCAGGTGGATATTCCCCAATTCTCACAACTCGGCTTATGATTTTTTTAAAAATGAGAGTGACTCTAAACGGTGAGAACTCATAACTCATTTGAATGAAAAGCAGTCGGGGGGTTGCCACACTTCATTGTACTTGATTGTTGACATTGGTGGCAGCTGTTACTGCCAATCTATCTTCAACCAACTGTGAACATATCAAGATCACACACACACACACACACACACGTGTGCACATAGTCCTCTTCCATTATGTTAATGGAATTTAGAGAATACCAGAGTATCTATCTGTCCTAAATTCTTTCTCCAACAACTTTTAGTGACATTCAAGTTGATTTTATTTTTCCTGTTATCATTGCCCATTCCTTTATCTTTATCTGTGGCATTGCAGCTACAAGCATATAAGATTCATCCAAATTAATAACAAAAATGAAGCAGACATAGTCATAAACTTTTAAAAGAGAAACCTAATAAAATCATTAATTCCAGGCTGATCATTTTTTTCTATTTACATAGGAGAAGTAGAAGTTTCTATTTTTTATCCTCCATTGGATTACTGTAACTTCAAATCCAAGAGGGTGATATATGGATCAAATTATGTTATTGGTTTCCACTTGACTAACAGACTCAGTGCATACACTGCACAGTCCATATTAAAATAGAGAGGCATAGCAAATGAATCAAACTAATGCTAATAATCTGAATTTTAAGTTCTAATAGGCTTCAGTAACGCATACTCTAGAGTCTGAAAACTTTCTAGTGTCTTACAAAGA
The DNA here is from genome assembly GCF_000001405.40 of Homo sapiens. NCBI lineage: Eukaryota > Metazoa > Chordata > Mammalia > Primates > Hominidae > Homo > Homo sapiens. Next base: position 111,037,188 of record NC_000004.12, on the reverse strand, counting down.
AGATTAGTAATTTCCTCCTGCCCTGACCTACTGACAGAACTGCCATGAATACATTAGATCATTCTGTCAATTAAGGAGTGGAGTCCATTACACTGCCCTCCCCAAATAATTTCACAAACAATCTAAATGAAGATGGTAAAGAACCATCATTAATGCATAAACCATTTCTGTGTGACCTCTTCTCTGAACTCTTTCTATATCTGAAAGAGGTGAGTCTCTTCCATGGAATAATAAATACTAAATAATACATGTACATGTAAAATGTGCATTCTCAAGAGCAGTGTGATAAGCCAAACACAAACCACTTATATGCATTGAGATCACTGTCAATACATGAGTTTTATTGTTATATGGCGGAGAAAGGAAGAGAGGAAGAAAGACAGAGTTCATCCTTCCAGTAAGAATATAGGAAACTCACTGATTTTCAGATATTTTGGCTACTTTACATGTGCAATAATGCTAATACTGTTGAAAAGTAGTCTATGAGCTAAGATTAAATTTTGTAAGTTTTAAACTTTAAAAAATACCCTTTCATCCACTATCATACTGACTTTAGAGAAGTTTAAAGGCTGCAAAATAGGGGAAAAAATTTAGTATTGCTTTCTTGCCTTTTTCCAATATGTAATTTTTGAAAAGAGCTATGAAAAATAAGTAACCAAATGGCAAAAACAATAAAAACAATAACAATATTTCACTACCACACAGTATTTTCCCTATCCAATCAACAGGGAAATTTTCAGTCAAACCAGAAATGTTTATGTTTGTTAAATATAACTACTTCTCATGATAAATACCATATTATAAGCCACATCATAAGTCACCTTACTCCCTTCTTTTTTCTAAATGTACCAAATGATAAATAAACCAGATAGGCTTAAATATGGATGTGTACATATACCCTTCAGGGCTGCCCAGGTTTTGTAAAAGAGCTTCTGAGACTCTTCCGTAAGTTACAAAACCAGTAGAGAAAGTGAGTAATAAATCAACTAAAGACTGACAGGAAACATTTTACCATCTTTTTAGCAATTATTATTTCTCCTTTGTCTCTTTTCTAATATTCTTTCTATCTGTCTTATAGAAATCATTTTAGAGATGCTAGCAATGATGAAAATTGAACATGATCTGGTTTGTACATAAAAATTGTTTTTGAAGACAAATTAACAGTAATTGAAATGCTCAGCCTTAACCATTCAAACTTAAAATTAATAAATATTCAAAACACAGTTAAAGAATATTGAAAAATGTTTAGTTCTTGTAAATTCTAATCCTCAATTTTTGTGATAGTCATTTTTCTTATATTTCCATGAATTCAACATCAATATGTAACTAACCATGATTTAAAGTAAAATTTAGAAAAAAAATGACATGCATTATATTGTCTAATTCCATACGCATAATCTTACACTTATAAGCAATACATTTACTTACTTTTTTCATGCACTAAGGCCTCAGCTTTACATGAGATGAATCAACACAATAAATAGCAGAGGTAGACAAACGGTATGATTTGATTTCCTGTTTTCATTCTTAATCTGTTCAACAAATATGCATCAAAACCTATTGTATGTGACACTGAATGACTATGGGAAAGACAATAATGAATGGGCATAGCTCTTCATCCCCTGGACTTGGCTATTACATAGTACATTTTCTATCTTATGGTTCAAAATTCAGGAAAGTTATGAAATTTGAGATTGGACAACCCAAGTCAATATGTTCACATCAACTAAGCTCAAAACATAGAAGATACATATTTTCTCTTTCAACTGAGATAATGTCATACCTTTTTCAGGGAAGAACCAGATCAGTGTTTCAGAAGCTACGAAATGAGCTCAAAAGCAAACAAAGGATATGTGTCCCACCATGCCCACAAAGAAAATTCCCAGAAAGGGTGAGGTGCCCAGCATAGCCCAGACGCAGTAGGTATCTGAGTAGGACTGCTCTCCTTTATTCCGTAACCCAAGTGTAATTCTCACTACACAAATATAAGGCCACTCTGGCATCCTGTCTTACCTGCGGGAAAGAAGGAATGTTATAGAAGTACTGGTAAACAAGAACTATAGTATTGGTGTGAGAAACAAAACAATGAAAAGTTAATACAGGGATTCACCAAATGAACAATAAGAGGATAAAAGACATAAAGAAACATTGAGTATTTTCTGCCAAAGATTTAAAGATGCAGATTGCCGCATTAAAGTAAGATAGCTTAGTCCCTTGCATTCGTTTAGTAACTCTTGGATTTCAAGCTATTATCCAGTATTATAAAAATAACTCTTTCCCTCTTTTCTCAATGCCAAAGATCTACCTGCCTTCTTTAAAGAAAATGAAGTTACAGACCATCAAGGGATTCTATCATTTTCCACTATCCTGGTTCAAAGCAGTTCCATTAGCAAAATTATCATAGCAATGTGTTTTTATATTCTGCTTTTATCAAAGAAGCCTATTTTTAACTCTGTGTTTTGTTTTCATGTTCACTTCTTAAGTTTAATTAATTATTAATTATTTGTAATTTACTACTCCATAATTAAACTAATGACTCATGTTCAGTGTTTTATTTATTCTGTAGATAGCAAAAATAATGCTGATTCTACTCATCTCTGCTTGGCTACTTTTGACTTCCCATGACCACCTAAAGTTCATGTGCATATTGTATATAGAAAAATATTTTTACATGGCATAAATGAAAATAGAGGCATAGCCCTTGATTATTCTTATTTTGACATATTTTTATGTTCTGTCATCTAAAAGACTGGTAAGGAACAATGAAAATGAAACTATAAAAAATATTTAGAAAGATAGGTGAATTTAATGAAAGTCTGGAAAGTGTAAGCTACAATATATTTTAAAATGTTTTATCAAAAAATGTAAGTTGCTTTACCCAAAAGTGCCTTATCAACACCTTTTAAAAGAGCTGAATTAGGACAGTGGTAAGTAATTGTCATAATGATAACTTCCCAATAATACCAAAATACTTTCTATTATCACTCAAAAGTAAAAGTGAAACATATATTCATTTTTAAGTGCTTAATTACATTTCAATACTTCAAAAAGTAGTGCTCTGTCTTTGAAATTCATGCTGATTTGATACAGACCAGGAAAAAAATAATTGGAAGAATCAACTTCCCAATTAAAATATATGAGGGTCTACATTTTCCAAAGTAAAGGTTTAAAAATCCTATTTTCAAAAATACTAATTTTTTAAAATGTATTTCAGAGCCATTTAAGCATTTAAACACTTGGGACCCTTTTTCCTGTTAGAGTAATAAATTTATTGGTAAGGCATGTAAGTGTTTAAAACATCAAGTGTTTTAAGTTTATACATGTTAATGTTAACATGTAAATGAAAATGTTAAGGTAATTTAATTAAGTTTATAAATGTAACTGATTATTTAAAGCAGAATTTAGTGTTTTCAACTTGGGTTAGTCAGGTTTTATTCAGAGTCTCCTGAAAGATAACTGTCCTACTTTTACATAAAAAGTGGAAATTTTTAAAAAGAAAAAGAAGATTTGGAAATTTGAATTGAAGGGCTTAAGTAAAAGTGGATATAAAACACATGTAAGTAATTTCAAAATAGGGATTTTTTTCTCCTACTCAATAAAGTGCCTGGGTATATTAGATAAACTGTTCTAAAAATGAGAAAAGATTGAATGGAAACTTTTTTCTTTTGATCCACTTAGTAATTTTTGAACTTGCCTCCTCAGCGAGGCCTCCCTGACTATCCAGCAAAGTGAGCCATTTTCTCTACTGTATTTCTGTATTACTTGTGATAGCATCTGAAACAGTACAAAGGTTAAGAGCACAAGTTTTGAATTGAGACCACCTACTAATAAGTCCTGGATGTGCCACTTACTAGCTATGTGATCTTGGACAAGTTATTCAACTTCTCTAAGCCATTGTTTCCTTAGATAAAAGATGGGTATAATAATGCCAACCTTTAAAAAAAACAATGCAGGCAAACTGTTCAGTTTAATGATCGATATTGCTTTGACTTCTTGGCATTGTGGTTGTGCCTATTTATAAGAGATAAATTCTGATTTTCAGCATGTCTGCTTTATGTTAACAATAATAATAGATAATGTTTTATAGTGCTTATTTTGTGCCAGCCAATTTTCTAAGCAATTGGTGTACATTACTTCATTTAATTCTCACAACAATCCTAGGAGATGAGTTCATAATTCCCATTTTACAGGAGAAGAAACAAAGGCCCCAGAAATGTTAAGTAACTGGTCCAAGAACGCACAGCTTGAAATTAGTAGAGCAGGAACTTGAACCCAGGCAGTCTGCTTCCAGGGTCCATACTTTTAACCACTACAATATACTGGTTATAATTTAACAAGATTACTTGTCAGTTCCTTGTGATAAATACTAGGAACCTCAAAATTGGCTAACATGGAATTATTGTTAAGTAGCTCACAGTATAGCAAGATAGACAAGCATTTATATATAATTACTTTAAAATGCCAACAAAGGCCAGTTTTAGATTAATTTTCTTTCTCCCTCTTTCTACTACTCACTTCAAATGTCAACTCGAGTCTGTGATCCACTGGGCTAGGATTACTTTCACCATATCCTTCAGCAATGACTATATGCAAAAGCAGATTAAGCACTTGATGGTTTTCATTCAAGAAACTCATAAGAGAAAGTTCTGGCCAGGGATGGCATTACCACAGACCTACTGAAGTAAATGCACAGAGACTCAGTCTTCTTGTAAAAGATACACTAGGACACAGACTCTGCTGAGTAGATTAGTCCTCCAGAGTTTCCACCAATTGTTGGAGTCCCTAAATAAAGACTGCTTGTGTCAGAAAGAATAGGGCCTCTGTCTGATAGAGTCAGAAAAATAAATAAATAAATAGCAATTTCTAAGTCCAAAACTCCACTAACACCACTACCAAAAAATAAAAACAAAAAATTATGGGACTTTCTAAATTGATCTAGAAATATGCTTATCTGAGGAAATGTTGATTTCCACTATGGTAGAAAACCACAGGACACATAACCCATCAGATGAGACCAGAAGCGCTGGGAGACTCATATGTCTAGTTGTTCTTTGGCTAATGTCAATGGTAAGATTTTGGACTAAGTTTATGGGAGGTGGAACTGATTACATTACCAGGCTACTCAGATACAAATATATCAGATATTACATAAACTGTTAGTGATATGCCCTCCTTCTTCTCCGTGCTTTGGTGCTGCTCTATAGATCTCAATGGAATAGACATTATTAGCCTCACTGTTAACTTCAGGAGAAACTTCTAAGTTAAACGCTCAGACATCTTCCTTCAGCTATTTCAAAAGGAATCCAGTTTCTGATTGATTCTGAAAAAAAGTGGATGCGGGAAATGGATGCAGTTGCATGAGCCTCACTGAGACATACACTCTTTGCCTGCTTCTAGTTATCTAAGACAGATGGTGATACGTATGAAATTATCATTCCTTTGTGTCTAAGTTTTGCTATCCATATTGGACATGTAGTCATTCTTCTAGAATTAGTAGCTTCATTCTTGTTACCTAAGTGGCTGCATTCATTTTTCCTATCTATATGGGCTTAGAAGTTTTCCCAAGTGTTTGGGTTATCTCTTGTTGCACAACAATTTACCTTCAAATTTAGTTTAGTGGCTTAATGTAAAACATTTTTTTTAATCTCTCGTGATTCTATAGATTAATTGAGCTCAACTAAGCAATTTTTTCCTGTTGGGCTCTCTGGAGTTTCTCAAGCAATTGCAGTCAGATAGTAGTGTGACTAAAGGTATTAGAGACACTCAAATGAGTTGCCAGACACAGGGTGACTAAGCCTCTCTCCTCATCTATAGTGTCAAGTCACTCTTCTCCATGTGATCCCTCTTCTTATGTGAAGACTCATTGCTCTCCCATAGTACAAAAGCCATACCCTCTGGCCTTCTTAAGGCTTGGGAGTGAAACTGAGTCAGTGTCACTTCCACTACCACCTAATATATTGGTTAAGCAGCCCATGGCCAACCCAGATTTAATGAGTAATGAGTGGGATGAATTTCTCCTTATGGGAAATATGACAAAGAATTTGTGATCATCTTTTATCACTTTGGCCACAAATTATTTACATTCCTCCCACTTGCAGAATATATACACTCCCTTCACAAGGTCACCAAAAGTCTCATTCCATCACAGAATCAGACTGAAGTCTAAGATTACTTCATTTAAATAAGATTCACATGTCATTGAAAGTCCTTATGTGTATCCCTCTCAGTCTAAAGACATGCACACTAAAAAGAAAAGTTGTCAATCCCACCTCCCCACTTGTCAAATATACAATGGGCACACATGGTCCAGTGAAGCTGCAATCAACACTGTCATTAAAAATAGAGGCGGGGGGTAACTGGTCTATGAAAATTCTGAAATTAAGCAAATGTTGCCAATTCCTTGAGCAGAACCCATTTCCTACTCTTGATGATGGTTCTCACTGATTTTTAGTGCCACTCTCTTGTTTTTGGTTCCGCCCATCAGTGTTCACTTTGATAAGCAGTGGCCCATGTTTGCAACAGAGTAGCTTTTTCTGTTTCTTACCTGTAAAAATTTGGGGCCACAAAGTGTCTCTTTGTTTTGAACTTCATCTATTTCTTTTGGTTCAAGATGGTATAATTGCTTTAAAAATACTGTGGGCTTCCTGTGTGTAAAATTATAGTCTAATCCATCAAACAAATGACAAAACCAAAAATCTCTTCAAGAGGCTCCTTTTTCTCTTTGGGATGAGAGTCAACGTACTGTGGGAAAACATATCTAAGATCCTTAGAAACCTAATTTTCTACCATAGAAATTTAAGAGGCACGTACTTAAGATTCTTAGAAGGCTTTTTGTCTATCTCAGGGTTTGGCAAACCATGGCCCATAGACCTAATCTAACCCACAGCCTGTTTTCGTTAGGCCTGCAAGTTAAGAATATTATTTTTTACATTTTGAAAGGATTGTAAAACACAAATAATAGTACACTGAAAACAACAAAATATTGTTGAAATAAATTAAAGAATTCCTAAATAAATGGAACAACATCCCATGTTCATGGATTAGAAAACTTAAAATTGTTCAGATGGTAACACTACACAAAGCAATCCACAAATTTAATATACAATCTTAATCAAAATCCCAGTATCCTTTGTGGCAAAAATTGGAAGACTGATCCTAAAATGTATGTGGAATTGTAAGAATCACAAATAGCCTAAACAATCTTTAAAAAGGAGCACAAAGTTGGAGACTCCACACTTTCCAATTTCAAACATACCATAAACCTACAGTAATAAAAACATTGTTATACTGGCATAAGGATAGACATATAAATCATTGGAAGTAAACTGAAACAAGTCCAGAAATAAACCCATACATCTATGGTCAATTGATTTTAAACAAGAGTTCTAACACTATTCAACGTGGGGAGGAGGCCATGGTGCTAAGACAACTCGATAGCCACACGCAAAAAATTAAAGTTGGATTCCTATCTCATAGTATCCATGAAAATTGACCGAAAATGAATCAAAGACACAATATAAGCTAAAATTTTTAAAGTATTAGAAGAAAACAAAGGAGTAATCTTCATGACCTTGGATTTGGCAGTGGTTTCTTAAATATGATGTCAAAAGGACAGGCAATAAAAGAAAACACAGAAAAATTATACTTCATACAAATTTAAAACTTCTGTGCACATAAATTATACTTCACAGAATGTAAAACTTTTATGCATCAAAAGACATTATCAAAAGAGAAAAAGGATAACCCACAGAATGAGAGAAAATATTTTCAAATAATATATCTAACAAGGGTTTAATATCTAGAATATATTTAAAATAAAAACTCTTACAATTAAATGACAAAAATGCAAACAACCTAATTTTGAAAATGAATAAAGGATTTGAATAGACATTTTACTAAAGAACATATACAAATATCCAACAAGTACATGAAAAGAAGCACAGTGTCATTAGCCATTAGAGAAATGCAAATTAAAACCACCATGAGATACAACTCTACACCCTTTGGGATAGCTAGACTAAAAAATAAAACAAAACAAAATAACAAGTGTTGCCAAAGACATGAAGAAATTAGAAAACTCATACATTGTTGATGGAAATGTAAAATTGTGCAGTGACTGTGGAAAACAATTTGGCAGTTCTACAGTAAACAGAATTGCCATATGACTCAGCAATTCCACTCCCGAGTATATACCCAAAATAATTAAAAAGGAGCTCAAAGAAAAATTTGTGCATGAATGGTCATAGCAGCATTATACATAATAGCCAAAAGGTAGAAACAACCAAATGTCCATGGACTGATGAATGAATAAGCAAAATGATGTATATTCATACCATTGAATATGTATTATTCAGCTATAAAAAGTAATGAAATACTGACACATGCTGCAGCTGGAATGATCCTTGAAAGTATTATGTTAAATAAAAGAAAGCAGACACAAAGACCCCGTAACGTATGATTCCATTGATATAACATATCCAGAGAAGGAAAATCCATAGAGTCAGAAAGCAGTTTAGTGATTGTCAGTGCAGGGAGGAGTAGAGAATGGAAAATGACAGCTCAATGAGTGTGGGTTTTTCTTTTGGAGTGATAACAATGTTCTGTAACTAGATAGTGATGAAGGTTACATGACACTATGAATGCGCTATATGTCTCTAATGATAAATTACATGTTCTGTATATTGTACCACAGTAAACAAACAAACAAACAGCAAAGAATATAGGACAAAGATCTTATGTAGCCTGCAAAACCCAAAATATTTACTATCTGGCTCTTTATAATAATAATAAAAAAAATTTGTCAATACATGTTCTACCTGAGGGACCTACCAAGCACACTGTAAACATCTTTGAATTCTTAACAAAGAATCTTGAAATATTTACCCTAAGATGATGTTTTCCTGGTAGCACCCTAGTTTTTATCCTTACCTGAGGCATTTCTTCTTTTAAGAGCCTCTTGCTGGTTGGAGAAGACGGAAAAGAGAAATGGTTTTATTTTTGAATCTAGCAAGTAATTGTCTCAGAAATGCTTCCTCTAGATTTTACTTGAAAACTGAACAGATTTTTTTTCTTTTTTTCTATGTCTTTTCCTGAATATTAAAATGCACAACTAAAAGAAATCCGCTGACATTTTTAAGACAGACTTTACTAATAGTCTCCTTAACCTACTTTCAGCTTCCACCCTCAACTGGTCCTAAAGGGAATGCGGTGTGTGTGTGTGTGTGTGTGTGTGTGTGTGTGTGTGTGTGTGTGTGTACATTATCCCACTTCCAAATTGACTGGACTCAGCTGGACAGCTGTCATGAATTTGCAGTTGCAGTTAGATAGTGTTTGGGCTGGAGATACAAAATAAGTTCTTTCACATGTCTGGTACCTTGTCTGGAATGTCTGGAAGAGCACAGTGCTGTCTGGGCTCTCTCTCTCTCTTTCTTTCTCTGTCTCTCGTCACATAACTAGCCTGAACTTCCTCACATCACAGTGGTCTCACAGTAGTCATCCTTCTTACATGGTGTTTAGCTTCCCCTAGAATGAGCATTCCATGAGATCCATTTGAAAAATGCAAGGCTTTTTATGACTAGCCTCCAAAGTTATGTAGTATCTTTTTACAAGAGTCTAGTGATCAACAGCAAATTACAGGGCTAGCCCAGCTACAAGGGGTAAGAGAGTACTCGGTGGTATGAAATCTTGTATGTGTGGTTCATTGAGGAGAGGAGCATCAATGGAGACTAGCTAACCCATATTCATCTTTACATTTAATAGGAAGTTTAAATTGTGAGTGTGCTTTCTTTATAAAAATAAAAGATTTGTGTGATGAAATAAATGAATAATGTACAGTGATTCATTCAATAATAGAAGCTTGAGAAAAAGTTCAGTGACAACAGGAAGAAGGAGGGAATAGTTCTGCCTTAGAAAAAGAAGAAGAAATTCTTCATAGAAATGGAGAAATCTGAACTGGATCTTGAAGAATGACAATGAATTTTACATGCTGATATGGTTAGGCTTTGTGTCTCCACCCAAATCTCATCTTGAATTATAATCCCTGTAATCCCCATAATCCCCAGGTGTTAAAGGAGAGACCAGGTGGAGGTAATTGCATCATGGTTGGGGGGAGGGTTTCCTCCATGCTATTCTTATGATAGTGAGTGAGTTCTCACAAAACCTGACGGCTTTATAGGGGGCTCTTGCCCCATTCAGTCTGCACTTGTCCTTCCTGCTGCTTTGTGAAGAAGGTGCCTTGCTTCCTCCTTCACCTTCTGCCATGATTGTAAATTTCCTGAGGCCTCCCCAGCCATGCTGAACTGTGAGTTAATTAAACCTCTTTCCTTTATAAATTTCCCAGTCCCAGACAGTTCTTTACAGAAGTATGAGAATGGACTAATACACTAGCAGAAAGGAGGAAATGTGTTCATAAGCAAATAAAACAGTATAAACTCACACCGAGATGAGAAAGCATGATGTGGCCCAGAAATAGCAAATACTCCAGCTTAAGTACAGTGTATATTATGGCCAAGATGAGGCTGAGAAAGCAGATGGGATGAGGGTGTAGAGGATACTCTCTGTAAGAAGAAGGACTTGGAAATTCTTTTTGCAGTTACCTGTTTCCCAAAGAGTAGTTCTCCACCCATTTGTGCCCCCAAACCTCCACAAAAAAGGGTACTATGTATACATATGTCTGAGAAATTATACATACCTTTCTATAGCTCTCTCTGTGGTTCCCATCAACCTTAGAACACTAAAGGCTCTGAGTAGTCTTGCAATAAAGAAATCCATTTAACTCCAAAAAACTTTCCAATGTATTTGAATAGAGAATGCTTTTTTGATATAACAGCTACAAATCATCCCACAACCCTTTATTTTATGGTAGATCCTTGGGGAGTCATTTATGGCTCAAAAGCAAGTGAGAGAAATGCAAAGATTTCCATTATAGAGAAAACCTGTGGTAATATTTTGGATGGCTTCAAAGGAAACAGACTGGAATGAAGGAGACGAGTGTATAAAATAATGGAGACCTAACATAGAAAGCAACACTGGGAGTGAGAATGAGGGCAGTGAGCATAACATCTTTAACAATTCCGAGTGAGTTCTTGGATAGAAATAGGAGTACTGCAGTTCCCATGATAGGATGTTACTATCAGTCTTCCTAATGAATGTGTTTTCCAATTATGTCGCTGTGTCATTTTGTATTGACTTGAACTGAAGGATTAAAATGAAATTATATATATATATATATATATAAAATATATATATCTCTCTCACATATAACCTGTCTACATTACACTGAGCCAAATGACTAGGAAAAATTGAAATGTCTAATTCTCTTGGCCAATATAATGAAGCATAGCTGTTAATTTTTAAGGTGAACTTTGTTTTTCTGCTGCAGCTAAGTTCTAAAAGAAATTTATCTTGTAGGTCTTTACTCAGGAAGAGTTGAACCACAGAATGAATAGTGTCTTAAAGACTTATGGTGCAAAAGATGCAAGCATTCTTTTTCAATATTTTTCCTATACATTAAGCTTAAATCATACACATAAAATCTCTGTAAGCTTAACATAGAAAAAAGATTTACATATTTCTGGGTCTCAAGTATATGAAATATTCTATAGAAAAAAGGCGGTCTTATTCTTGTCTGTACCTTTAGAAATTGTGGGTGCAACTTAGAAACAAAATCTGGAGCAAGTTAAGAGCAACATATACATAGGGTCTTTAAGAAAAAAAACAAAACAAAACACTGTTGGCCCAATTTCAGTAACCATGGGCAATTATTTGCAGATGCATGTATAGTTTACTAAGCTCCTGTGCTGTTCATTTGCGTGCCTGACATTATGCTATAGGCTCAACACCTGTGGACATTTGCATGCACATCTTTTACAGCCAAATTTTCTCCAGGAGAGAGGGAAACTTCCATGGGAAAGGAAACTCAGCTGAAAGAAGGCAGAAGATAGTTTGATCACTTCATCGCTCAAACACAAAGGCATTTATTTAGGTCTTGGTATAACCCTACTTCCAAAAGCCAAATTCATTACATAATTTGCATTATGCTGTGCATTTATATTTGCAAATGAATCATATATTTAAAATTTCTTCACTATTAAAGGTAAAAACAATTGCAATATCATGGACATGCTATTACAATTATTCAAAAAGCAATGATAATATAAGCCCATAGTAAAGTTTTTAAATGGCTCTATGATAGCATCCCTTAGAACTCAGTAGAAATTAATTATCATAGCCATGTATCCAGATAAAGAGAGATTAAATAGACACGAGGGGATAGTCACATTAAAGTAAGATTTCAGAACTATCCATTCCATAACTCTGTTTTCATACTCTCTAGCTAATAGCAATGGCAGCAGTTGCAAAGCATTTTTCAAAAACAAGTTCCATGACATTAAGTGTAAACAAGATAATTTTCCCATAGAATATTTCGCACCTGTCTGGTACATAATAAGTACCCAATAAAAAATAGCTTTTACTTTTTAAAATAAGGACAAGATAAACTTGAGCAGAGAATGAGAAGTTTGTGTTGGGTAAATGTGTAAAAAATATTAGTAGAAAACAATTAAAAGAAAGTTTTTTTATTGTCGGGAGATTCTGGTTTCAATAGCCGTTAGACTACTGGAAAAAGTTAATGTAAATGCTTGACATAGAGTGAATCTGTTTATTAAAATAATATGCAAAGCAAGAGCATGTAAATCATATAAAAACGAATTATTTTAGAACTTTACTAATACCAGAATTTATTCTTTAATGCTTCTTTCCTGGTTTTTTTTCCTTAATTTGTTACATGATTTGAGGAGTTTTGAACATCTTACAAAGAATATGTTCATCCTACTTCATTATGCTATTCTAAGTTTCAAAGAAAACTTTGGTTCTTCCATTACAACTGATTGCAGATCTAGCGGTTTCCCACTCAGTCCCTCCACTGCCTTTGCTGTGGTTATTGGAGATTATGTCTTTGGCTCCAGTCCTCCCAGATCAAGAAAACTGAGAGCTACATTAACTGAAGGTTCTCTTTCAGTTATGCCTGCCTCTTCCTCCCTGACAGTTTGTATCTCCATGACCCCATGGTCACACACCTTACAAAATGGCAGTAACCTTCCATTTTGTATCCCTAGCTGTAAATATTCTTCTCTTCACTTCAGTCTTCATACCTTCATCACTCTGCCTTAAAGCATTTTAAATGTACAAAAGATATGTTTTTAAAATCTTAATTGGTTGAATCATTTATAAACTCCTTAGTCTATAATCACACCACTACTACCTGAGGGTGGGTCCAAAACTACCCTCCCAACTCATTTTTTAGTGTTCTCTAAAATCAAAATTTTCCATTCCTAGAGTATGAATTGGGCAGGCTGTATCTTGGGCATCCTATCTGGTACTATATAACAGTATGGGTTTTAACTTGTATAATTCATTTTACATGACACCTAGCAGTGCAAATTGCACATGGCAGGAACTTTAGTAACCTGCTTTAAAAAAATCTAAATTACTAGTGTGTTTATTTTTAAGCCAAATGTTAATAAATAATTTTGACTTCACTATAATATCAACAATTATCTTGTATGCACTCAAAGATCTAGCTACAAGGATGTTTATGCAACCATTTTCATAAGAAAACTTGGCAACTACTTAAAACTCAAGAGTAGGACACTAAGGAAATAAACATGGTCTATTTCTACCATGCAGTACAATATAACCATTTAAATTGGCATTATAGAATACTATTGAAATGTCACAGGAAAAAGTTCATTATATACTCCAGTTTAAAAAAGGAGACTATAGAATAAGGGTATTGTATTATGCTATTTTTTGACAGCAAAAATGTGAGTACAGAAGTAACTTAAAAATTGTATGCTATAATATTAATGGTAATGATTTCAAAGTAAAGTGGAATTTTATGTGATTTTAATTTATGTTTTTACTGGTTTAGTATTTTTTAAAATGTCTTCAGTGTAGGTATGTCATTATTATAACATAACTATAAAACTTAAAAAACATGTCAATGTAGTTTTGGAATATTATTTAAAAAATCAAGCTAAAAAGTTATAGAAAAGCAAAGCATAACAAATTTCAGTTCTTTAATGTGAATATTCAATAATAAAACTAAAACATATTTAAATGCAAAATTAATCCTGTACAAATAGTTTTTGCTCAATCTCCATTGCCCATCTATGCTTAAGCCTTCCTATTCACTGGCCCTAGATTTTTCCCTTATTCAAATTACATATTCTACATATTTTTATGGAGTTTTACTTCTCTGCCTCAAAGCCAGCAGTGCCTCCCTCTTAACAAATACACAAAATGAAAATTCTGTTTCTGGATTTCAATCCTGCTAGCTATCCGAACACTTTTTCTTAAAACTAGCTCTTCTCTTCAGACTAGTTCCTTTTTATTGGCTTCTGATCACATAGCATGTGTGACCCACATTTTGCCTCTTCCTCTCTTCTCTAATTCAGGCCTTTTGTGAAGGTTTATTCCCCACTCTGCTTCTTCCAAACAACTTCTCCTTAGCCCATGCTCATCACTGAATTTCTGTCTTGCTAATTAGCTCAACTGCGTAACCCAGCATGCACTTATGTGCTTGTCTGTGTTATCCAGTGTTTTCCTATGTGTCATGTCTGCCTCATGTGGTTCCCTTGAGAGAATCCAGAATATTCTTTTCCTTTACTTTGCACAATATCTGTCACCATTTTAGATATAATGGTAGCTGCTCAATAAACACTTCTTGATGGATTAATAGATATAAGATTTATCTTTTCTTACACAATCAGCAAATTAATTTTTTAAATTACTGGTTAACCTTTGTCCACTTCTATCAATATTTTTTAAAAAACTAACATTCACTAAGAAGGGATATATGTATTTGATAGTCATAAAATGTCATTCTGGGACAAAGAAACAGATTGAGAGAACTGTTTTACTCTTATACTAGTTATATACCATCTTTTAAGCTATAACTTCTTTTTAAACACAGATTCTGAAAGAGAAATATGGTAAATTTAATTAAGACTATTAATGATGAATGATAAAGACACAACAAAATGATAAGAAATGTGAAACATCTTTCTCTAAACTGCAGCAAGCTTAAAATATATGTGTTGAAACTACTGAAATTGTAACAAATCAGTGGGCTTTCAAATTTTGCATTTCAATCAAAATGTGATCCTCAGCAAAGCCTAATTGGATAAATGGAAAGCAGTGTCTCATTCCTTTTGGTGGAGAAGCAGAACTGTGGTAATTCGGTTGGAGGCAGAAAAGAAATGATTCTGACAAGATCAAATAGCTACTAGGTATTAGCACTCACTATGGTTTAAGTGTAATGTCACTGAGTTTATCCAAAGCCATTATTGCATACACCATCTCCGTGGTTCTAAGACAGAAATCACATAATCAATGGTCGTCAGACCACAAAAAGTTGGGATCATCATTGGGTTAAGCATCCAAAAGTTATATTTCTTATCCAGAACAACCACCATGAGGGAATAAACTTTCTCATGGGAGCTTACTTATAACGAAGCTCCAAGTTTCTGTGGCAGAACTTGTCAAAATCATCTTAATATCTGCTTTTAGGTCTTAAACCTAAAAGGCCATGAAAGCAAAGAAAATTAAAATGTCGTCAAAATGTAGATTACCTTTGTTTTTTTCTGAAAAATTCACTCTTAGAGCAAATGTTAATAATTGTCCTCGTTCAGTTTGAAATAGCTTATGCTTAAACGACAATCTACCAAAACATCACTATGTAAAAGGAAACAATAAATATCTGATAAAATGTCCTGGGCTCCTTTGAAGAATGTGGTAGATTTCTTATTTAGCCTTTTACCAACCAGATTCTTCTACAAAGACACACAGGACGTTAGGAAATTTGACTTCTGCAGCCCTTGCTAGGGTCCTAGAGGACTTGGGAGGAATTCTAAATAAACAAAGTCTTTCAGCTCAACCTAGCCACAAAGAACTTACAAGCCATTCTCTCCTACCTTGAAGTGGGCTCTACTAGTTCACCACCAGCCTACACTCATCAGTACACAGAAGTCCTAGATTATCAGAAACCAGATCCTGCTGGGATGAGTAAACACCAATCAACAGCACCATTAGCCTCCAGAGGTCTCCGTACTTTGTTTACAGTAAATAATGAAACAGCCATCACTGGAAGGCCTGGTCCTTCTAAATTTTTATTTAATTTAGATGTTACAGGTCTGCCTTTTTATAGGGTTTTTTTTTTCTGTGCTGCACCTTCTCTACTTTAAATTTTTAAAAAGTAACTTGTTTTACTTTTCTCTTTTTAATAAAACAAGAAAAAAATGAAGGTAAATATTCATGGCCTTGCTTAAAACAACTACTTTCTCAATTGTATTTAACCATCTGCAGGTAAGCACTGAAGTGCAAAGGCAGAAAATGAAGATGATCTTATTTTTTTTTTTTTACTCTAAGAGGCATGATTAGTCATGGGACCTCTTTTCCAATTTAAGTCAGAGACATCTCGATTTATTATTCATCTAGAGCTGGATTTGAAATGCAGATGTTTCAGACCATGGTTTCTTCTAGTGGATGCATCTGGCCTAGTTCTTTATTGCTGCCCTCAGATGATGACACATAGAAGAGTTGGGCCAAGTTTTGGGTGATGGTCTTTCACTCTGAAAGAGCATATAGTGGCTAATATATGAGGTGCATTGAGACAACCAAGAGAAGTCCTGGTAGCCCCATGGGCAAGGTCATGGAGCTGGAGCAGAGAGAGATAAGTGCCTTATAGGGGTGAGAGTTCAACAGCTTAGTTATGGCACTATCCCTACAGAAGAAGTAATATTCACTTGTAGGAGCCAGTCTGTGAATCTCACATCGGCAAGGGGGCAAATTAAGAAGGTCAGCAATCCTTTATTATGAAGCACAGGTAATCACATATTTTTTCTTTTTTTTTTTTGCCATTCCTTAGGCTTTAGTCAGTCACATGCTTATGTTTCATCTTGTATCTATGAAAGGATACCTGGTTCTCATTTTACAAAATTTTTAGATATTTACATACATCTAGAGAAATATTCATAAACTCAACATATTTTTATTTTGGAAACATTGTGTGCCATTATATTCTTTCAGTGCAAAAATCAAGAGCCAATTTAGAGGTCTAAATGGTCCGTCATGATATGCTCGTGACATTTGTAAAAAGAAAAACCATGTCATTATGTGAAAAGTATGCAAGACTCTCAAGAAAAAGAAAAAAAGTTTATTATTATAGTCTACCCAGAAGACAAATTACATGTAGAAGTGGCTGTGAGATCAAATATCACAAAATAAACAGAAAAAAAAGTATTTCAAAGTATTTTCAAAGTATTTCAATCTTAATTTAATGTTTGACTATTGGGCCTTTTTTTTTTTTTTTTTTTTTTTTTTTTTTTTTTTTTTTTTTTTTTTTCCGAGACAGTGTCTCACTTTGTCGCCCAGCAGTGGTGCGATCGTGGCTCACTGCAACCTCCACCTCCCAGGTTCAAGCGATCCTTCCACCTCAGCCTCCCTAGTAGCTGGGATCACAGGTGCCGGCTGCCATGCCTGGCTACTTTCTGTATTTTTTTGTAAAGACGGGGTTTTGCCGTGGTTGCCCAGGCTAGTCTCAAACTCCTGCACTCAAGCAATCTGCCCACCTCAGCCTCCCAAAACGCCAGGATTACAGGCCAGCATGAATTTAACATTGCAACCCTTTCCCAATAACTGTTGATAATACAGTCCAAAACCTAACTGTCAGTCTGCATTAAGCCCAGGAGCATGTAAAGGTGATATAATCAATTGAAAAATCCAGGGGCCACCATTCCCCAACTTCCACCTCTACCATCTATTGAATTAAATATGCCTGTGGACGTAGGACTGAGATACTTTACTAACATTTGAAATGAGAATAAAGTAAAGTCTTCATCTGCTAGGCAGAGGTTCCTATGTTTCTTAGCTGAGACACTTTAACTCCCCACACTTACTTAGACTGCCAACCTTCCATTCCTTGCCTGAGTCTCAGATCAATATGATAGATAAAGGTAAAGCTGAAGGTAAATGATTACCCTATAAGCTGATGAGAATTGTAATTTCAGTGTATAGCAAACACTACAGGGTATAGTGAGCCTTCAAGCATAATAAATTCATCACTTATTTCCAATGATTGATTTGTATTCTGGTTTAATTAGCCATGAAAGAGTCCATTTTTTTTAAGCCTTCCTTTACTTTTCATTTTTATTTCCTTTTACCACCGCTGCCTATTGTAGTTGCTAATCCCCAGCTGTCAAGTTAAGGAAATTTAAAGGCAGACACTAAATACAAACATTACCAATCATGAATTCATTTTCATATATCAACGGACACAAAGATTTCATAGACAAACCAGGATTTGTAATTCTATTCCTGGAAGATTGTCTTGTTGTTATAATTAATATTATTCTTAATTACAGTCTGATCATTTACAACACATAATCTATAAAAACTGATATATTCGCCTCCTGAAAAGCAGATGTTTTATGATATCTACTAAACCTACAATTTTCATGTTGCTCAATTCTGCGTAACCAATATAAGTGACTTTAAGAGGAATATACATTGATAGAACTCAGGAAAGAATGAAAGCCTGGGCTATGAAGTGGATGGGGTCAGAGTGGGATAAAGGATTGGGGGTGAGACTGACAGAGGGAACGATTTGGTTACTAAAATAACAAACTCACAAATGCATTCAGAAAATTCACCAAGAGTGTCCGTGTTTATTTTAACTGGCCTCCACAAAAAAGGAAAAGTTGGGACAATAGCGAAGGCCAGCTGTTGTTTTTCTTGAAGAGGTCCCAGCTCTGTATGCTGAGGAACTCTACTTGAGATGGCCTGGCTGAGACAAATGTTCTGTCCACATTTTAAATGGCAGCTGGTTATTAAATGACTCCCAATAGGGTGAACACTTGCTATTGACAATAAGGTAATATAAGGACCGTGCAGAGCAATCAGGATGGGAATGTGAATGAAAAATCTTTAATCTGAAATTACAGCTGTCAGGGTTATATTATAAAACATGAAAGTTGCATCTGCAGTTAGAATTAATGTGTCCCAAAAGCCAAGTTTCTCATAAACTGCATCTTGCAGATACATATTTTATAAATAGTCTACCAGTCTTCTATAAATCAAAGAGAACTGTGGCCTATATTAAGGAATTAAAAGGGGTCATCTCTCCCAGCATTGGTATTTGTTGAGCACTATTGGGGGAGAGGGAGTGGGTGTGAAATGAACATTGATTTCCAAAGTCTGGCAGAGAAGTTAGAAGTATTAGTCCTACACAATACTATCTCACTGATTCTAGCACCACATACAAATGGCTCTAAGTTACATTTTGTAATAAGCTGTGAATGAGTAGAAATTGAAATTATAATATAAATAGTGAAATTGTCTTCCTGGCAAATTTATCAGCAAAATGTAAATTTTGGTTGCTGAGCAGTTTATTTAAAAAACTAACATGACCTCTGAGGGGAAATTACATACTTTTAAAAATAGTTATAGTCCTAACAAGATAACTTTACATCAGAGATACATACAAGTCCCTATTAGGAATGCCACATAAATGCATAAAATTGGAGGTCTGGAAAGATTATTAGAGATCATCTAGTCCAGAAACTCATTTTATAAAACCTAGTTCATTTCTGAAATATACATGTTGAGTACCAAAAGGGACGTATACTTTAAATCTCTGAAAACATGAAGCAGTTGGTCTCACAGTGTCCCAAATCCTATCTTTGTTTTTGATAATGTATCTCAATTAAAGGACTGAAATGACTGTAATGAGCAAGGTGGAATCTTTATTGCTAATACTTAAGTCATAGTGGTGATCCCCTGATAACTCTGTCATTTCAAAAAGATAAACCTATGCCTTTTTCATCAGCCACTTAATATCTCAGATTCTCTTAAAAACAGAGAAATGATAGATACATATATAACAGCATCACACATGCAAGTCTAATACCTGTCCCATGTGGCACTATTTACCCTGGGAAATCCTCAGAAATGTACTACTGCTATGAAAAAATAGATAAGATAATTTTCTTAAATGCTAGAAGATAAACTATCTCTTGACAAGCAACCACTTCCTTTGCCTGAGTAGTAATTATTGCCCTCAAAAGGAAATTGTGTTTTATCTATTATATCATTAGATGAATAGAATTTATAATCCTGTGTTATAAATAGAAAGACCAAATGGATAAGCTATATGTATGAATTGATATTGTGCTTTGTGCTAATTTTGTAGAAGACTAGACTAACATACTTAAACCTTCCTGAGTTTGCAAACTGAGGAAGTGAAAAATGCCAGTTGGGCGCACAATGGTGTGATCCAGGGATTCTGGTACCCTAATTAAAAGAATGGGTTTTCTCTTTACATCTGGAGTTTGCAGACTAGATGCTATTCAATCAGATGCTACTGGATTTTCAAGTGGCTTCAATGGCTGAAAATACTTTTTTGTGTCTGTGTTTTACAATCATGTTAGAACATTGTCTCTTTTTTATGGAGCTTGTCCTCAGATCCCAAGCCTTTGTGACCTCCAGACCAGATTCCTGTGGGAGCTTTGTCTAGATCCCCTTGGCAGACCACCCAGAAGCTTTCCACTGGTACAAAACACAGCAGCCCAACCACATAAAGATGTGGGCTGAAAACAGAGGACACAATTCAAGCCCAGCATCTTATGTACAAAGACCTCAAAGTGAGCCTATTCCATCAGAGTTCCCAAATCAGATAAATTCTGAACTATAGATCAAAGTTTTAGGTAATGATGTGACAATGGGTCTGAGAGCTTGCCAAGTAAATATAAAGCTGAGTAAATTTTTGTAAGCCATAGCATTGTCATATTTTGATAATTTTGAATTTGAATGTAAAAAATTCTTTTTATATTGATAGACTCATTTAAATGAAAATGGAAGCTTTAGTCATAAGTATTTTACATGCAGTAATAAACCCTGACTTCTACAAGCCCAATAGTGACTTAACTAGAAAAGAAATAAAACCTGGGTAGGATTCTTGCACTATGAAAAAATGAGAATTGCTTCCTGATATTCTGGAATCCCTAAAGGAAAGGAGAAAGAAAAGGATAGGAAGAGAGCATAGGAAAGACCATGAAAATAAGCAGAACAAAGGTATTATTAAAAAAAACGCTGTGAACCAACTTCATAGTACAGAATGCTCCCTGGAACTCCTAGCTGCCTGAAACTAGAGGGATCCTCAGATATGCTGGCACAGACCCTTGGCCCCAAAAAGGTATTCAGGAAATACAGAGCAGTTCTTCATGTCTGCCATGTTGGTGTATGGGAGAAAAATGAAGAGAAGAAAGAAACATTCAGAACACTGGACAAGTCATTTCAAGTTTGGCTACTGGAATACACAAACTTTGCCATGTGTGCAAATGAAAAATTAAAGAAATAGAGATAGGCTGATACAGAGTAGCCTTTTTAATGTTTCCACAAAATGGCACTATAATAAACAAAAATAAAAACTACCACCTACTCTCATCATCCTTTCATAAACAAAAAAGCATTTGGCATTCTAGCTCCCCATATTAACAACCTAATATTAGAATAAAGCTCTATCCTTACTCCAAAATGGATGCATTAAAAATATGGTAGCCGGAAAATCACTACATAAAAATATATAGCATAATATGCACTCAGTGTAAATGTTTTCTTATAAAAGTTTGTCAATATGTATCTGCTTGCTATCATGTAATATAGATTGAAGCTCAAAAGTTCAGCTTGTTCTTGAAATTCTTTTATTGTATCAATACCTAAAATACATATTATGTAAGACTAGGTTGTTGAAAACGCAAACAAGGGTCTTAAAACTATTTCACTTAATCTGTAGCATTTTGGAGACCAAAGGGATTAAGGCTGCCCAGCTTCCTATGCACATCTGGCCATCTTCCAGCCTAGTGAGATAGAAAGCAGCACAGCTAGACAGGTGTCTGGGTGGCCAGGTTAATTAGGCTTCTCAAGAAACCCAGCGAATTTTCTGACCACCCAGCAAGATACACTCAGGGGAATACCTGAAAGTGGTCTGAGAAATACCTTAGACAATCACCCACTGTACTGGATTGCAGGTGTACCAGCGTTTGGTCATTGTTCTAATATATGAACGCTTTGACTCTACAATCATTAGGGTTGGAAAAGGCCGAAGAGATTCTGTAGTTTATGCTAAGCCACACCTTGTGCGTCATTAGTTTAGCCATTGTCTCTGGAATTCTAACTCACCCTTGTATCATCAGCTTTCTGATGCTAGGGCTGGAACCCTACAAATTACATTTCTCCTTTGCCAGATGCTCTCTATTAGGATCTAAAAACAGGGGCTCCCTGAGGAACCTGGAGGCAAATGGAGGAGGATAGCACACACTCCTTCCTGCTTGCCTCCTGTCTGCCTCCTGATTCTGACAGCATTCCTCATAACACTCCCTCACTCCAGCAGGGCCAGCTTGTTCCACCCGCAGTACTTGATTCCATGTCACAGTTTTTGCAAGACTCAAAGAATCTGCATCACCTTTCCTCAGAGACACTAGCATCAGCCAGGGAGTGCCTTCCTAAAGGTCTAAATTTCATCTCCTCCAAGCTGCTAAATGTTAATAATTCCAGCCTCTCTGTTTCCCCAGCTCTAAGGGTGGCAGTTGCTACTTTTGTGATACTTTAGAGTCTTTTTTTTTGTCTTCTCAGTTCTTCATTACTTATTAAATTCTCTTTGTTAAATTAACCGATGTTGTTTCTATCTCCAAATGTGCCTTTACCACATTGAGACTGTATTTTAAGCAGCTTTATTGAGATATAATCTATATACCATAAAATCTACTCATTAAAGGTGTATGATTCAATGGTGCTTAATGTATTCACAGAGTTTTGCAGCCATCACCATTGTCTAACTCAAGAACATTTTCATCACCCCCTCCAAAAACCCTGTATCCATTAGCAATCCTTTCTCATTTTCCCATTTCCCTAGACCCGGACAGCCACAAACTTACATTCTCTTTCTGTAGATTTTCCTATTTTGGATATCTCATATAAATGTGTTATGAAACAAGTTTTGTTACTCCAAAATTTGTGTGTTGAAGCTCTAACCTCGAATGTGACTGTATTTGGAGAGAGGGCCTTTAAAAAAGTAATTAAGACTAAATGACGTCATAAGAACGAGGCCCTAATCCAATGGGGCGGTGTCCTTATGAGAAGAAGAGACACCAGGGGCGTAAGTAGATGGAGGTAAGGCCGTGTGAGGATCACAGCAAGAGGTGGTCTAGGAGAGAGGCCTCTGGTGAAACCAGACCTGCTCTCATCTTGATCCTGGTCTTCTAGCATTCATAACTGAGAGAAAATGACTTTCTCATGTTTAAGCCATCCAGATTATTATATTTTATTATGGCAATACTAGCAAGTTAATATACGGAGTTATACAATGTGTAGTATTTTGTAACTGACCTCTTTTCACTTAGCATAATATTTTCAAGGTTTCTTCATGTTGTAACATATATCAGTACTTCATCATTTTTCTCACTGAATGATATTTTATTGTATGGGTGTACCACATTTTGTTTATCCGTTCATCAGGTGGTAGACTGAGTTTTTTCTACTTTTTTGACTACAATGAAAAATGCTGCTAAAAACATTTGTGAATAGTTTTTATGTGGACATATGCCTTCATTTCTTTTAGATATATATCTAAGAGGGAGGCTACATTCTAATAAGAGCAACAGACAATAGGAAGTAACAAATATATGGTTATGTTAGAGTGTGGCATGTAGTTGCACCTGAAAAGGGGTCTTTAACCCAAAGAAATGGCAGATCAAAGGATACCCAATCAATGTCCTTAAGGTAACAGTTCATGGTGCATCCTAAGTACTCAGCAAACAGTATTCCTTATTTTGTTTCCATCTTCTAAAAAAGTCCTTGGGGTTCTGCAAAGTTTAATTCAAATCGATAACCGGTTATTCAGAGTCAGTGTATATCCATGCATGCTTCCTTGTTTGTCTTCACCACAGTGCCTTGGCTCTCGATCATCCAAATCCCATTCCAGTTTAGATACTTTGAAAACAAGACTCTAAATATTCTCTTTGCAAGAGAGATTCATAAAACTAGAGCATATTTTTCTACAGGCTGCTTGAGCCTTTCCAAGTTTCTGTATGCTTGGATTCTACTATACATAAGTTTTGGTCTAGTTTTTTCCTCTTTATGCTTCATTCCTACGCCACTCATCAAGGCTGATTAGAAAAATTGTTCTCTGAGTTATAAATCCCAGCCACCATAGCTGTAACATGGATGAGATTTTAAACTATGGGATCTACAGTTGACACTCCCTGCAGCAAGTTGAATGCAAGCAGAGGCACATATAATTCAGAACATTTTTCAGATAGGATCCCTTCATATTTCTGCTGATCGAGAACAGAAGGCCTACTGGTCCTATAGGAAGAAGAGCTGGATTGTAAAGCCTTAGTCCTGTCAGTACCTCTGTGACCTCAATAGGGCCACTAACCTCTCTACTCTCAAATTCCTCTACTGCCTAATAAAGAGGTTGGATAAAATAAAATCTAAAGTTCTTTTTAGTTAGAAAAAACTGTAATTTTATAAATATTTAAGTAGCAACCATATTGAAACTATAAGCTATAGCCATTTTACATATCTGCAATTTAAAGAGAATAAACGAAGAAAATAATTCTCAGCATAAATTATAACTCTCTGCTACTCCAACCCAAGGACTGTTTTTAGAGAGATATCCCCAAAAGTGTTTACATGTTCCAATACCCACCTAATTGGTAGCATCTTCTTTTTCAAATTTGTATCTTCTTGTAAAAATATCTGTCTCTATGGTCAATTTTAAGTTTATGGAAAGGGGGCTTTGAGGTAATGCTTCCCTTTAAAAATTTCCATTGTCAGGGTTTTCACACAGATTGTGATACCATAATTTTTCATATCTTTAGCAGAAAAACTCTTATTCAAATACAACCATGTCTGGAGAGTGAAAGACATTAAGTCAATGGCTCTCATCAATATCCTACAAGAAATAATTTATTTGATTTTCAACCACATGGCTGTACCCAAAATAATGGTCTATGCAGTTGTCTCTAGAGTGAGTATGACCACAAAGGAAATACTAGACTTCTATCAGAGTATAGGAATAAAGTTTCACTAACAACTTTTTTCCTCAGTTACCCTCAATTTTTATTTGTGTATGTTTTAACTTTTTTCCTCAGTTACCCTTAATTTTTATTTTTGTATGTTTTATGAAACACATATATTCGTACAGCAATTCATGCATCCAATGTACAAATAGCCAAAAATAATATTCTGAAGTTGAATCCTCAAAATTTTTTTCTTGATAAGCTTTATTAACAAAAATTTGGAAAATTTACCGATGTAGGCTTTTAGACAGGTAAATTTTGCAAGAAGAAAAGAGGGCAGAAAAATTGTTTCTAACAGGAGTCCTTGAGAATCTCAGGCCAGGTGCAGTGGGTCTCCAAAGCAGAGCGGAGGAGGGCAGAGCAGCAGAAGCAGGGGAGGAGCCTGTATGGATGGCAGCAGGCAGAGCAGAGGAGGGCAGAGCAGCAGGAGCAGGGGAGGAGCATGTATGGATAGCAGCAGGTAGAGGCTGAGGTGCAGCTGAGGCCAGGTGAGGATCACAGAGAAGTTATGACATAGAAAATTATGCTAAGAAGAAGAGAAAACAGAGATTTTACCCCTTCAAAAATTTACTTTGCAAAACCCTCTTCTTACTTTTTTGTGCTTAATACACGACTTTAGGGCCTAACTTTTGGGGACCTTCCTTACTTCAAATGGCATTGCAATTAGCCCTGTGTAAAAATGGCCTGCTCACCGTGTATTAAATTCAATCACCAAATCCATCTGTGTTATAACTTAATATGTTTGCAACTCCAAACAATTCTTTTATAAATAGGACATATAGTACTTTTATTTTTAACAGACTCTCGCTCTGTCACCCAGGCTGGAGTACATTGGTGTGATTTTGGCTCGCTGCAACCTCTGCCTCCTGGGCTCAAGCGATCCTCCCACCTCAGCCTCTCCAGTAGCAGGGACTACAGGCGCCCACCACCACACCCAGCTAGTTTTTGTATGGTTTTGTAGAGACTGGGTTTTGTCATGTTGCCCAGGCTGGTCTCGAATTCCTGAGCTCAAGTGATCTGCCCACCTAGGCCTCCCAAAGTGCTGGGATTACAGACCTGAGCCACCATGCCCGGTCACTTATTACATATTTTACAACTAACTCACTTATTACATAAGTAATTACAGCTGGACTCTGTGACAAAACTATATTAATGAACATTAAGATACCATTGAATTAAGATAATCTAAATGTCTTAGTCATCTGAATAATATTGGAGGAGTGTGAATGTTAACATTATATCTAAATCGCTGAAATTCATTTCTATTTATCTACCTTACTAGATGCTAAGAATATAGTGATCATAATGTTTAAATTAGAAAAGTAATTTGTAATTAGAGTAAGCATACGCTGTAAATTCAAATTGGTAGTGAAATAACTACATATAACTTTTCTAAGGGAAAAAATTAAAATCTGCCAATAGTTTTAAAGTTACAAAATACAAAAACCATTAAAATGAAATAATTTTCTTCAACTTCACAAAAACCTTTTAATGGAAAACTGAATTTTGGCATTTATTGTTGAAAGTATTGATGAGTTACTTCTACTTTATTATTTTAAAAAAGTCTCCTTTTTTTTTTCTTTTTAGTATGCCACACTTGGTTGACAAATGCAAATACTTCGAGAGGCTATCCCAGCAGACCCCACTGTGGTTTGAGGGTTTTCTCGTCATCTTGCATTAGAGAAAATGATGCTGAATCACATACACTTAACAAATCAAAAAGCAACAAACATATGTAAGTAATGAAAATGTCCCGTAGTAAGTAATCATCATGATGCCACCAAAGGAAAACAAGCCTTTTTTTCTTCTCCTTAACACATTTTGCCATGTTCCATAGAGAAAGAAACTTTTATCAAATACTGTGGAACTGAAATCTTGCCCATTCAATTTCATCTTTATACCGATTTTTAATACTAACCATTGTAAACACTATTTTCTGCATGAAAATGAATTTCCATTAGACTAGCGGTCCCCAGCGTTTTTTGGCACCAGGGATGGGATTTGTGGAATACAATTTTCCCATGGACAAGGGGTGCAGGGTGGGGGATGGTCTGGAGATGAAACTGTTCTACCTTCGCATGTGGAGTTCACAATAGGGTTCACGCTTGTAATGCCTCCACTGATAAGACAGGAAGCGGAGCTCAGATGGTAATGCGGGTTCACCCACTGCTCACCTCCTGCTGTGCAGCCTGGTTCCTAACAGGCTATGGTGGGCTAGTGTTAGTCCATGGCCCGGGGTTAGAGACTCCTGCATTAGACACAAGTAACATTGGTTTTGTAATTGATATAGATGAAGTGAATAGCCCTTCCAGAATTTGGGAGAAAAAAATTAAGGAAATTATATGTTCATCAAAATGGAAAACCCACAGAGAAAATATGATGATCTCATTAAATAGCACAAACTCTGCAACAGATGGACAGGTAAAGTTGTTTCTTTCATGTCACAAACCTGGTCATGCCTACTAAGCTGTAGAACTATAAACAATAAAAATAAAAAATTTATAACCAGAAGGAGAAATTAAAGCAAGGAAATTGAGTCATCAGTAGAGAAAACACTTTAATTCATTTCTGAAAGTAAAAGAAGCATGAAAGCTAATGGATGGCTGAAACTATACAAAACAGTTTAAGTTCAAGATGTGCTGTGAGGGATTATAATGAAGTTATGTCAAGAACAAATGAGGATGAAAAAAAGATGTTAAATGAAGATCTGTATATGGTACAATTCACCAATCAGTACCCCCAGTTGGCAGCAATGAAAAATTCAGAGTGTTTCTCCTCTGGTAAAATCCCCAGGGGATTCTTTTCTGAAGAGTTTGAGTAGACCTACTTGGTTAAATCAAGGTTTCTGCTGTGAATGCGTCTGCCAAGAATAAAGCACTTTGTTTGGAATTCTGGGGGACCTGAGACCTAATAGCTCTCCTCTGCTCATTCAATTTAAAGTTAAGCCACCCAGTCAATAAACTATGTCCAGCCACACACTGAGCTCCAAGTCTACCATTCATGGGACACACCTAACATTTACCTATTAGCAGAGAAAATGCACACTAGTTAACTAATACTTCTCGATTGACTATAAACAGACAACCAAGATTTTTCAGACAAAAAAGAACAGCATAAAGGAGAAAGATCTATATAAATTAAACGGGAAAATGATCATAGAATAAACAGGCAATTAAAAATAGAAAAAAAAGAATTCACGAATTCACATTTATGTAGTTTCAAGAAAGCATTATATTTACAAAATAAGAATAGAATGCTCTACAAAGAAACTATACAGGTTTCTGAGAAAGTTTGTAGAAAGTGAAACTAAGATCTCTGAAATTAAAATTTTTAATTAATGGACAAGAAAATAAAGCCAAGGAAATATCCAAGATTATAGAGAAAAATACAATGACACCAAATATGAAAGAAAGAAACAAAACATGAAGGAATAAGCTAAGATTTCTAGCATCTTACTATTAGAAATAGAGAAGGCAAGAAATTCTCAAAGAAATAATAGAAATGTAAAGCCATTGGGGTTTTAAGCAGGAAAAAAAACAGTCTGTGACTTATATTTTAATAGAATATTTTTTGCTTCAAAAACAGACTATAGAGAAATTGGGGTGGAAAAAAGAAAAAAAACATGACTTAGACAACTGAAAGCATTCAGGTAAGAGATAACGCTACCTTGGACTAAGATATGAGAGATGGAGATAGTGAGAATTGGTGAGATTCTAAACAAAACTTGAAGGTAAAATCAACAGAACTGTGTTAGATTGTGTGAGGGGGAAAAGAAGAGTCAAAAAAGCCTCATTTTTTTTTTGACCCAAGCAACTGGATGAATAGAATTCTGGTTTACTGAGATGGTAGTACTGCATGAGGAGGAGGTTTTAGCAGTGGGATTTGGGATAAAATATATAACTTGGACTTGGACAAATTAGAGTTGAAGTTCATATGAGACATCCAACTAGACATGTTAGATAGGCAGTAAGATATTAGAATCTAGAATTCAAAGGAAGTGATTCTGGAAATAGTGTATAAATGACATTTAAAGCTAAACTAACTGAATTAGTTCACCAAAAACTGAATATAGAAAGAGAGAGTACAGAAGGTACATAGACTGAACCCTGGATATCTACCATGTTCAGATGTGAAGATAAAGAGGAACAAGCCCAGAAGGAGCATCTAATGAGGTAAAAGGATCATGAAAGGAGAGTGGTATTCCAGAGGTCAAGCATGTCTCAAGGAGGAAATCGTCAGCTGTGTCAAAACCTGCTTCCCAGTAAGTGAAATAAGAAAATAAAAGTGCCCACTGGATTTTGCTATATGGAGCCCTTTCACAACATGACAAAAGCTGTGCCTGTGAAGTGGTTGGAGGTGAAACCAGAACGAAGTATCTTAAAGAGAGAATGGGTGTAAAAGTGGAGAGAGATTAAATACAATCTTTTGAGGTCATTTTTTATAAAAGTTAGCAGAAAACTTGGGAGGTATCTGGATGTATATCGAGGCCAAATGACTTTCTTCTATAATGTGTGATATTAAAGCATAGATGTATAACATTGGGAATGTTCCTGCAGATGGATATAATCTGATACGGGATAGACAAAGCAAATGTAGAAACAATGTCCCTAAGATATGATGGGGAACACAATGCATGAAAGAGGGGCTAGCCTTAGAGGGAGCAAAGGCAATGTATAGTTTCTACCTGGAGGGAAGGTAGAATGTTTAGGGACTGATGTGTGCAGGTTGCTAGATTTGTTGCAGAAGCACACTGAAATTGCCTTTTGATTGTTTCCATTATTTCAATGAAATAAGAAAAAAGGTCATATTTTGAAAGATGGCAGAAGAAAGACGTGGGAAATTAGAGAGGTTTTTTTTTTTTTTTAAGGTGTGAAATAATCTTCTAGGAGAGGAGTACAGAACCTAAGGATAAAGAGGAGTGTTACAGGGCAGCACTAAGAGCCCACCTGAGATTAGTGGTCATGAACTTAATGAGAGACACAAGAACCTGGTTGTATGGTTTTCTTCAGCTCAAGTCAGCTGCTTGGGCAGCTGAATAGTGAGTTAGGAGTTGAATTTAATAAGCTTGGGATTTTTCTAAGCCAAGATAATGGATGAGCAAATAGCTGAGGTGGTATGCAGGAAAGTCAGTATAATGATGGACCACAGCATCTAAGCTGGGTGAGGATAAGGATATGATGGACAGTGGAAAAATAGGAACTAGAAAGAAAGGCATTTTGGAATTAAAGTACTAGAGAGAGTGAGAATGAAGTAGGCATGCAAAAGTCTGAGATTGGAGTGCTTAAAGTTGAGATTATGAAAAGGTGCAATAATTCATAACACCAAGATCTAAGCATAGCTACAGCGACTAAGGTACACTGGAAGACAAGTTAATCAGATGAGGAGGTCAAGGACCTGAGCAGTCAGGATGCTAGAAAGGTTTGT
Organism: Homo sapiens; assembly: GCF_000001405.40. Classification (NCBI taxonomy): domain Eukaryota; kingdom Metazoa; phylum Chordata; class Mammalia; order Primates; family Hominidae; genus Homo; species Homo sapiens. The sequence continues at coordinate 111,006,625 of NC_000004.12, read as the reverse complement.
CTGCATAGATATCGAAATCACAATGATTTATGACAGGAGTTGTGTTGGAGCAGGATAAATGGTAAAGTAACGGATAGGATCTACTTATGATTGTAAGTTGACGAGATGAGGAAGTAGTGTCTCAGAAATCTGGTGATTATTATGGCAAGAATGAATAGAAGGTAGAATAATCGAGCAGCATATGTTTCTGAGAAGGAATGTTTGAAAGGGAAGGATGGTTGTCACAATGGTCTGCAGGCAGCAATGAGATCTAGGAAGACTCTTACCTTTACCTCCAGGCATGGTGATATGAAGGTTGTAGAAGGAAAAAAATCATCGTTAATGGGGACAACACATAGAGGTGTGCTCAGGGAGCAGTGCTTGGGGAGAGCCAGGGTCCACATAAACCAACAGGCGGCAGAGAAAGTTTCGTGAAGAAACTGAAGATACAGAGCAGGGGTCGCCAAGCTGTGGTCAGACAGCCAAACTCCTGTTTTTATGTCCAGGTGCTAAGAATAGGTTTTATATTTTTAAATAGTTACATTTTTAATGGTTATAGAAATACCTCCATGATGTCCTTGATTTTGTCTCTCAGCTCCCAAAGCCTAAAATATTTTCTATCTGGCCCTTTAAAAATAATGTTTTCTACCTCTGACATCGAAGATTTTGCTAATGACTGAAAGTGTTGGGGTGAGTCAAATTATGGAATACACAGAACCATATAGGCATGGAAGTCTAAGGCATAAAAGATGACTTGGGAGTTTTGGGGTATCTTATGTTGACTGAGGTAAACACGGACACAGACCATGACCAAATTACTCCTAAGGGTCTTTTCATCAAACTGCAGTGAAAGACTATGAATCAGATGGTGGGAGGAAGACAAGGACCTTTCCAGGAGAAGATACAATTCCTTATATACATGGTCCAGCCACTACAGTCTAGGCTGTAGGAGAGAAGTTTAAGAACACATAGAGCTCTGGTTGTGCTATCTAATGGCTCCCTCGAGTCTATGTTTATATTAGCCCATATTTGCATAGCATTTATTTATCCTTACCACTCTATGATGAAGATAACATAACTTCTATTTTATATATTAGAAAACCAAGCCTTGGAAAAAATAAGTAATTTAATCAGAGTCACACGGATAATACAATCTAAAGCCTGGTCTGGAACCTAGGTCTTCTCAAAACTAAGCAAAGTACTTTTTTCTCACAGTTACCTGCATGTTGCCTCAAGACTATTCAGAAGCAGTACATGATAGCAATTGGGAAGTACTTCTTACAAACCAGAAAACATAAAAAGAGGATATTCTCCACAAAGAGCTCGATTATTAAGTAAAAATACTGGTTTATCAGGCAATTCTACCATCTGATGGGCAAGAATGTTTTCTTCAAACATAACGGAAACATGAGTACATCAAAAGAAAAAATACATATGCCATATAAATGAGAAAAGGTGACCCAGCTTGAACACGGACTTCAGATAGCGACGTTAGTGGAAAAGGGAAGAACAGTGATGAATCCAACAAATGCATTCTACCGCTACCTATTATTTAATACAGGACAAAGACACTTCATTACTTCCAACTGGGACCTCAATAAAATGGCCACATGATATGTACTTCTCATTAAAAATCTCAAACAACTAGTTCCAACTGTATGTACTTCCAAGTCCCTGGCTTTTCCTGAATAAGAGTACCAGGAGTAAGGATCATGAACATAGCTATTCTCTTCTATAAATAAATAACTTGGCATCCTCAATCATACTTCAGTTGGTATAATTATAATTCTTTTCAATCTATCAGCCAATAGAAAATTAAACCTAATTTTCTCACATCAAGGGTGAGGGTCAGCCTCAGAAATGTAGTAAATATCCTGAGGTTACCAGCAAAGCTTCCCATTCGAAACCTCCCCTACTTTAGTTTTAAAGTAATTCTTTTCTTGAAAATGTGTACAATAAGTGCCGTATTAGGCAGTCTTCAGTAGTGCAAGTTAAAAGTGTGATGCTTTATAATTTCAACAATATATTTATAGTTTTTAAATGCACACTGTGCCTTCAGATGTCTCATTAAAGAAAGCAAGTATCGCTTGTTTTACTATCAGAAACAGATGAATTGATTGATAATTACCATAGACTTGTCAATATGGAAATATTTATCTTAATTGCACTTTCTTTGACATGTTTGTATCACTCACAGTTACTACAATGGAGTATATGTTAAGTTATTCGTTCACTGGTTAACCTTGACACATTTTAAAATTCTTTATTTCAGAGGTTTACAGTTTAAATGGTGGATCAAACAACAAAAAAAAATGAGATATTAAAGTTATTCTCAAGGGACATATAATTTAGGTAAATAAGATTTAAAAACACTATATAAAAAATGCAAAGGCCATACAAATATTGACTGACCTCCAGGATAAACAATCATGTCAATGACAATGTATACTTGTCAGCTTAGGCTAAACAATGCCATGATAACAAGCAATCTCAAAAATCTCAGCGACTTACAAAATAAAGGTGGATTTTTCACTCACATTGCATGTCCACCTGGGATCCAACATGATATCTGTTCCAGGTTATTTTTACTCCCTACCTAAAACTTTGCTGGTTTTATAGCAAATGGAAAACATAACACGGTGGAGCCACAAGAGAGCTCTTAAAGCTATTGTTCAGAAATAGCACATGTTCTTTTCACTCCTTTTCCTTGGACAAGGGAAATTGGGACTGGGAAGAATAGTCTTCTCATAGGAAGAGGCAGCACAGTGATTCTTCATAAATGTCTACTATTTTTAATAGTTTTTAAAAGCTAATGTGCATTTACCAGAGACAGACACTTAGCTAAAATTATTTCAGAAATTGTTTAGGATCCCCTAAAGACCCAAATAGGAATGACACTGCAGGCATAAGGAAGGGCACTTTCTTGATGAATGGATCCATGGTTGAATTATATAATAATATACAGGTGACATATGATTGCTCTTAATTTTTCTCTATTTACTTCTTGTGCTATTTGCCTCTCACTTGGAATCAGATCCTATGCTGACAATGCGTGATCCAGCTCCTGGCCCATTCCTGGCTTCATGCAGCATTCCCACTCATCTCTGGCAATCACACACTTCCAGTCATCAGCTCGCTCTCTCTCTGTCCAAGCCCTAATCCACACTGCTCTGCTCTGCTACGGAGTCCGAGGACTTCAGCCTCTGTGTCCTCCAAACACCTGTACCACATCTGCCCACATTCACTCAGTCCAAATCCCAGACCTGGCTCTTCTCATCAAATTTGGCAGATCAATGCCACTATTGTCTACTGCTGGTTAATAGTACCCATAAAATAGAAACTGAAGAAACAAATGACGAAGTAAATGCATCTTTGCTAAATAAAATCTGGAAGCATAGGTAGGGTCTACAAAAGGTAAAAATTAACTTGCTTCATAGCAAAATGTTTAGAAACGACTGTTCTTTGAGCTTTTTACAAAAAGGAGACGTCTATGGACTAGACTGGTCAGGAAAGGATGCAAAATAATAGTGAGGCTTGGGCTAGGTAGAGTTTGAAAGAAAGAGAAAGAAATTAAGCTTATCATACTTATTTAGCAACTTTTAAAATATGTGAAAAAATATACACAATTACCACTTAAAGGTCACACATACGTTAAATTTCACTGATTTTGTCTGTAACATTTATACATACAAACCATCAACTTGTAATAAGTTAAAATTAATAACAGCATCGGTATAACTATGAAACACATTCAAAGTCAAGGTGAGAATTACACAAATTTAATTTACACATAAACTGCATGTTGTTAATAAGGGGAGACAGTAAACAAATACTGATTTGGTCACATTTTCATAGTCAACTCTTTACAAAATATTACTGTTTCTTTGATTATTGCACTGCCAAATTGTTTTGTTTCACTTTTAGGATGAAAAGGCAGAAGTGTGGGTTTTGGATAAGGGATCCTATCTATTTAGGCTTTGGGTGCTGCCCAACACAGAAGGAGGCTTAGAGATAAGAGAGATAAATCTCTCCCATTTCTCCCCTTCTCTCTTGGACACAAGTGGCTGAATCTAAACCTGATGGCACTTTATAGAAGCTATGTTTGAAAGCAGCATCTGATGCAACTGATCTTTCTTTTTTGCAAAAATAGGAAACTTTGTTTACAATCTTTCAGTTTAGAGGCAATAAGTAATTTTTCCTGCCTAACATATGAGAGCTATTTTACATAATCTTTTCCAACTTTTCTTAGAGCACCCTCCGGGGATCAGAAATTCAGGTTAGCTGATGAGATTTTGTCTTTCATTATTTTCTTTTCAAATAGGCTGGCCTTGACAGCTCTACCACTGGCTGGTTCCAGCAGGCCCTGGGTTGTGTGTGTTGGGGCTCCTCCCCAGAGAGATGAAGAGATGGACCGACAGTAACAGAAGGCCCTCGAAGCTGATGTGTGATGAAGGTACTTAGCTTTTAGTAGACTTGCCTCAGTTTTCCATGTGGGAATCTGTCCAGGAAAAAAGTTCAAGCACTGAACTCACATTCTCTATTCTTGTTTTAAGGTCTAAGAGGGGATGGAAGGGGATTAATTTTTTGTAGGGATTAAAGATGACTCTAACAATATGTTTCCTTACAAGGTTAATAAAGAGGAAAAGGCAAGTGATCAAGATGTAACCATAATTATTACTAGATTTACTTCAGACTGCTACTTAAAGCTACAAGACACTATCATTATAGGCAATCCTTTTTAATGTCAACATCAATTTAAAATTACCCAGGATTTTTCAATAAGTGGTCTAAGCTTATTCAAGTTTAAAATGACATCATAATAGTGGTGACATATTTTTACCATTCAATCTTGGTAAAAATAGTAAGATTATAATAAAATGCCTTCTAGTAGCCAGCTATTGTTTTGCATAGCTGGTAAAGGCCAAAAACCACATAGGAGACCAATAATTACAAATGTAAAATCAATTTCAGATTAAAGGTAAAGATTAAGTCATGAAGGAAGTCTGCGATGTAGTGCTGGGTGCTGATTGCAATAATTCTAAAGATTAGCAGAATATTCATTATTGCCCACCAGTAGTAAAGACACATTAATTTACTCAATACTGTATGTTTTGACTTAGGACTGATTTTCTTGGAGATCACTTACTTGTTAAGTGGTATAACCACACACACAAAAATAGGTCAATAACGCAATTTTCTATAGTTCACTCAGTTTACTAACCTACACATTTATTCAAAAGAAGTTGACCTAAAGGCTCAAAATAATGGAGAGATGAACATCTCAAAGTGCTTGCCTTCTCATATCTTTGTGTCCTTATTTTCCATTGCTTTAATCACAATCCTTTGTTGAGAATAAATCATATCAATAGAATATGTTTAATATCTACATTAATATGTCAAAACTATGAAAAACAAAAAAAGACAATACGTTTATATCAATAGCTGTGTTTCAAGGGGTGACACTTAGGTTTTTTATTATTAATTTTCTTATTTTTAATTTTTATGGGTACATAGTAGGTTTATATATTTATAGGGTACATGAGATGTTTTTATACAGGCATACAGTGCTTAATAACCACATCACAGAGGATTGGGTGCCCATCTCCTCAAGCATTTATCCTTTTGTTACAAACAATCCAGTTATACTCTTTTAGTTATTTTGAAATGTACAATTAAGTTATCATTGACTATAGTCACCCTGTTGTGCTATCAAATAGTAGGTCTTATTCATTCTGTAACTATTTTTTATGTATGCAGACACTTAGGTTTTGACGGCAAAAGCTTGGATTTGGGAGGTAAGGTTTCCTGCCTTGGATCTATGGCTCTATAATGTATTCCCATAGCTTCATGGTAAAGAGTACAGATTGTGAGGCCTGAAATCCTAATTTTGAATCCTAATTCTACCATTTACTAGATTTGTGACTTGGGAAAGCAACTTAATCTTTCCAGGCCTCAACTTAATTATCTATAAAAACAAGAATAATTATAGTAATTATAGAACCTACCTCACAGGGTTGCTGTGGGTTTAAACTTTTTAGTATGTATTGATCACTTAGCAGTAGAATGTCCTCAGTAAGTTCTATGCAACTGTTTGCTTTATCATGATAAGTATTCTTATTATTATCTGCTGAATGATTTTATCACAGTTATTTAACCTCACCAAACCTATTGGTTAATAGTCTCTATCTCACAGAATTGTGATGAGGATTGAAAGACATACATCATGTCAAGCACTTGGCAAATTTATGGCACATAAGAAGTGCTCAGGATTTGTTGGTGATTTGCAGTCACTGATTTGGGGGATTTCTCAGTTCTCTAGTAGTAGGGCTGCAGTGAATTCTCTAGTAACAGGATTCTCATTGATTTTTTAATTGTCTCTAACTCTCTCTGTCCCATTACACATGAGAAGGATGATAAGCTAGAAAGGACCAAACTACTCTGCAAAATATGAGATGTGTATGAAAGAACCTCTTCTGTCATGGCAGCCCCCAAAAATGTGGATGTGCTTATTTGCATCTTATTTTGCCAATTTCCAACAGTCTGGCCTGCTACCTTGTAAAAACAGAGTGTTTGCAATTATGATGGGAAAATGTTATATTAGCAATATTCAAATTCATGATGACACTTGGAGGTAAATATCAGCCCTGTCAAGAATTGGCTCTTCCTTACTAACTCCTTATCCTTCACAAATCTCTTCTGTGAGCTTTCTTGTCAACATTGTTGTAATGGGGCATGACCTAAAACATAACATTGCCATATAGAGAAATAGCCCTCCAGGATTCTATCCTGAAGAGGATTCTATCTCCAGTATCATGTCCTTTGCTGTAGAGAAAAACAGTTGTATGGCCCATTTTTAAACCAAAGTCCTGTTAGCCAGGACCCAGATGCATACAGAGAACATCTTTATTGTTTGGTTTTAATTATCTCTTCCAATTCAGACAGAGTCTGAGATGGAGCATGAGGAGAAAGTTAAGTGTGCTTTCCACTCTTCAAATTCTCCAGCTCTCTTCCCCAGTTCATCTGATACAGGTCTCTAAAATTGGGGAGCTGACACTCTCATCTCTTTGTCTTCTCCCCAGGATTCCAAGAGTCTCCACATTAGGTTACATCATCAATGGGTGCTTCGGTAATCCGATTCTTGGTGTAGGCTGTGCCCAGGAAAATCACCAGGAAGAAGTGGGGAAAAAAACAAAAAATCACCCTGCCACATTTTTTAAAAAGATAAACTCAATTCACCTTGATGCACAATGGCTTAAAAGATAAAATATTCTTTTGTGGTGTAAACAGATGATTTCTATAAAATCAGAAACTCTTTCCTCATCAAGAGAGAAATAGGGTCTTGATTTTTTTTCAGGTAAAAATTCCACTATATGTTCTATTCCTTGCTGCTAGTTTTATTTAGATGATCAAATCTTTCCTAAAGTGTCATATTCTCTCATTTTATGTGGTTAGAAGCAGGATGTATAATTTAATTGGGTATTGAGAAAGCTGGTTTGATATCTTGAACTAAAGGTGTTTTTTTCCCAATGTATCCATGGCATGTTTTCAAAATAAACCTGTTTCACAATGATATCATGTGCAAAATGACTAGAAGTTTTAGCACATGTACTGTACCAAAACATCCCTGAAAGGCTTTGAACACAAGTAATAAGGGAAAATAGTGGTGCAACAGAACTGAGAAATCAGTAATAGGATCTTGTGTTCAGAGGAAAACATTAATTTTGATTTTAGAAAGGCTGAATTTGAGATAATAACATAGTTTCTAAAGAAAGGTAGCTAGAGGTACAACTGTTGTGTATGAAAAACGTCGAAGTTATAATGAACATTTTGGAGACATCAAATAGTAGCAATTTTTCAAATTTTAAAAAGAGTATTTTATGATAAACTACCAAGTTGCATATCAGATACATCATTCTAAGTAATGCTTGACATTCTGAGGTAAGCATTAGAAACATTTCTGTATTTGATTATATCTTGGTACACCACACCTACAAAGAGGTAGCACAGAATAACTGTTCATGTATATCTGAGCCTGAGACCAGCTATTGGCTTGTCAGTCTCTGGAATTATGTGCATCTATTACTAAACCATTTGCCAATTGTTGGGTTAATCATCAGTCATATATCATCAGCCTGGGAATTCCATTATGTTGACATGAATTTGAATTTATCTTTGTCTTTCTGTGTGTCATTTTTTCTTTAGTGTGGCTATATAATGCAGATGACACAAAGAACCAGATGTCATTTTACACCCAAGAGATGATTATACCTCACAGTTGGCTAAATTGATTTCTATATTTAGTTTACACAAAACCCCGGGATGCTTCTGGACCCAAGACGTTGGTAAATGCAAGACTGGTTACTGAGAATTGTGCAAGGAGAAACAAAAATGTAACTTGACTTCAAAGTCAGTAGCCAGACCAAATACAGAATAAAAACTTAGTTCTTGATTTTATCTTCATCCTTTTTTTTTACATCAAGGAAGGCAAAAATTTATATTTTTATATTATGTATTTATAAAATACATGTCTGAGTTTTCATATTTTAAGGGACATTTTAAGATAAAATTCCCATCTATAAAAAAGTCCTCTTTCCCATGTGATTTTTAAAAATACAGTGGAACTTCAAGTTAATATTCTCACTTAAAAGACCTAGGCAAGGCCAGGTGGTGTGGCTCATGCCTGTAGACCTAGCACTTTGGGAGGCCAAAGCAGGAAGATCACTTGAGGCCAGGAGTTCAAGACCAGCCTGGGCAACATAGCATCTCTGCAAAAAAATTTTTTAAATTAACTGGGCATGGTGGCATGTGTCTGCAGTTCTAGCTACTTGGGACACTGAGGCAGGAAGCTTGCCTCAGCCCAGAAGTTAGAGATTATAGTGAACTACCAAAGCAAGGCTTTGTCTCTAAAAAAAAAAAAAAAGGCAAAAATGAAAATAACTCAAATTATGTAATGACAAATTACATAATTTTGACTTTTTTAAAAGAAATCCCAAGCCCAATGTTTCAACTTATTTTTTGGTAAAATCTCCAATTTTACATATGTGTAACATATTTATATCATATATGTTACACAACCTACACACACACACACACATATAAAACATAACATGGTCTAACTTGCCAAAACTAACCCTTATTATGAAAATTAAGCTTTGTATTAATTGCCATTCATTATTTTAAATTAATGGTTCCAAATTCTAATGTGTCAAAGAAAAACTTGGAGCTATTTCTAAACCCATAGAGACTCTTACATAATGAGTCTGGGCAAAGGCCTAGGAATCTAACTTTTTCATAAATATATCAAGTGATTCTAAGTCTTGAAATCTTCAGACAACTCTTTGAGAGTTGTATAATAGCTCCAGAGATTTTTTTTTTTTTCTTGAGATGGAGTCTCACTCTGTTGCCCAGGCTGGAGTGCAGTGGCACGATCTCAGCACACTGAAACCTCCAGCACCTGGGTTCAAGCGATTCTCCTGCCTCAGCCTCCTGAGTAGCTGAGAATACAGGCACGTGCCACCTCACCCAGCTAAGTTTTGTATTTTTAGTAGAGACGGGGTTTCACCATGTTGGCCAAGATGGTCTCAATCTCTTGACCTCATGATCTGCCCGCCTCGGCCTCCCAAAGTGCTGGGATTACAGGCATGAGCTACCGCGCCCGGCCCAGCTCTAGAGATCTTTTAAAAACTAGAGGAAATGTTATAGCATTATGGCAATAACCATATCATAGTGGTTACTTTAGGCTGTTCCTTGCAAGGAGTCACAGCATGTCTTCATAAATACAAATAATTTTTTGTAGCCTTATACAGATTCTTATACCAAATGATATATAAGATATATATCTAACTAGGGCCCAGGTGCGGTGGCTCATGCTTGTAGTTCCAGCCCTTTAGGAGGCCAAGGTATGCAATCACTTGAGCCCAGGGGTTCGAGACCAGCCTGGGCAACATGGCCAAACCATGTATCTACTAAAAATACAAAAATAAGCTGGGTGTGGTGGCGTGTGCCTGTAATCCCAGCCACTCGGAAGGCTAAGGCACAAGAATCACTTGAACCTGGGAGGTGGAAGTTGCAGTGAGCTGAGATAGCACCACTGCTCTCCAGCCTGGGTGACAGACTGAGACTCTGTCTCAAAAAACCAACTAACCAACCAACCAACCAACCAAACAAACAAAAACCAAGATATTTATCTAATTGGAAGAGTTTGAACTTTGGGAGTCCTGGCACTCTTACATAAGTTTTATATCAAATATAATCACCAAGAAATAATCTTTTTGAGGTACAACTCTAAGACCCTACAAATGCATATTGAGATTTAGAATACTCTGTTATGAACAACGAAAATACTATATAATATGAAGCAAACAAAACAGAATCTTCACTGCAGCCTATCAAAAGGTACTAAGCATTTAAGAGCCTAAATCGTTTGGGAAAAGCTGTGCTGCAAGAAGAGGGGATCTTGAGTAGGAGGGGACAGACCCAAAGAGTGGGGTTTTAAGGACTTTCTTCTTTCTTCCTACTTTCCTTCTTACAACTCTCATCTCTGTAAAAATGTAATTATTTATGGAAAACCCTAGAATTTACAGATTCAAGAGGTGTCCTGGGACTTCTTTGGTACTGAAAACTGATCTATAAAAGATAAGCCATCATCTTGAATGAATATTTAGAACTCAAGGTAAGAACGCTTGCATACAAACAACATTTTTTATGTCAAGATAGCTTTATTTTGGATGGCAATTGTTCTGGACACTTTCTCCAAGCAAGCATGACAAATGTCTTAAATAGCTCACATGTAATTTCACTGTGAAAAAAATTAATCTTATAAAATTATTGTTTCAATTAATGCAAGAAAATACTGCATGAAACTAAATTACCAAGAAAATCAATTACCAATAAACCGACAGCATATTTGTATTATAATTTGTCCTTTAAATAATCAAATGTTCCTTCATAAGCTTTAGCTTATTTCCCCAAAAGGGTTGACACGGCATTTTGTCTCATATTTGAAAGCTATCTTTTGCTGTTAATTTGCATTAAACAAACAACAAAAAGACAAGAAAATCAAAGGAAGTACCCCTATATGGTTCTTCCACACATATTCAGCTATGTGAGCAAGCAGTTAAAACATGCAAATCCAGTTTGGAGGAAATTCGACATCTCTATTATAGATGAAAGGTAAACAAAGCAGATGAAGGATTAGTGCAATTCCAAATTTAAGATATTGCTCTCAGTGACTTATAATAAAGTGGTGTTGCATACGGTGGCATGTTTTAGATGACATTTCAATTGTACGAGCAATTTGCATTCTATCTGACATTAAATAACGTTCTTAGTATTATGAATTCCAGCAGCATCCTCATCTCCACAGCATAAAGATATGAACTATGAGGCACATCTTAATGAAGGGAGTAAGTTTTCCTGTCAATCTGAAATGCGAGACAAGGCAGTACCTCGGCTAAAACGCCAGCAACATTATTGTGAGTTGCCCACTCCTGGCATAGTACAAATCTTCAGCTAAGGCATTCTTCTTATTAAATAAAGATCTATAACTGAACACATGTATCTGTAATATCACTACAATCCAAAGAAAATTAAAAGACAGATTATGTCCAGGATATTACATGCACCACCACAGAGCACTGCTAGAATCTGGTATGGTCTTGTTGCTAAGATACCTGGCTAATGCCACGGAAACGAGCCCCTCTTACTAATCTAGTACAATCCATGCATGCTTCCACATATTTTGGCAGGAGAAAGTAGGAGTCCACTGACAATGGTTTGGGATATTACTAGCCAGTGTTCCTGAATTTATACATTTTTTATCTCTTTCTGGTAAGCTTCAACAATCTTAGTGAAATAAGAAATGTAACACTCTGCTAATGGCATTTGGTTGCTTTATGCCATTTAAAACAAGTAAGATTACTTTTTATCCTGCTGCATAGTCAATAAAAGTTGCTTAAAAAGGTAATTATTTAAGTGCGTTTAGTTGCAAAATTGTGATCCTCCCCAAAATGATTCCCCTTAATCTTTACAATTTATATTGTTATATGCACATAAATGACTAACTGCATTTTCTCTCTCTATGGCTTTCTTCAAGGAGAATGCAATATACCAGTTTCCCTGAGTGCAAACTGAATAAGAAATCAGGACACTAAAATGAAATACTTTTATCAGAAATTACTCACAAACCTATGATGCACAAAGCTGGGTTTCAGTGTTCATGTTCCAAAGATTTTTGTTTTATTCATTTAAGAAAAAGTAGACAGAGATAGAGAAGATTAAAAGCTGTTTCCTGCATAACAGTAACATATAAAATTCCAGAATGAAAAATAGAGACTTTGAGACTTCCCCTGTACAGAATGCAAATTCACTTCCCACCTTCAGGTAACATTTTCAAAAAAAAATTTGAAACAGTCTGCCTTTGTTAAAGCAAACTAAGCAAAGATTCCTACTGAAAAATCAAATAAATTTTTAATGTAAGTGTGTTCATACTCTGCAGTGCAATATGATCTTTAGAGCATCAGTGACAGTAGTTCCATTGAGCTCAAGTTATGATAACAATAACTTTTGCAGATGTTCATAGCTGTCAAATATTATTCACTAAAATGTCAGAAAACGTGATAAAAAGTTAAACCAGAAAAATTATTCTAAAGTAATTGGTTCAAGTCAAGAAGGCAAGGAGAGGTCAAACATTAATCCCTATCCATAAACAGTGAATGAACTATAGCGGAATCACAGCCATATTGATTTTTTTTTGGAGGAAACAATTGTATACTGTATAGGTGAACACAGAGAGTAAAGTGGATGTTTATACATGCACTAGTGGGAAAATTTATAGGTGCATATCTCAAAGATATTTATTGATTTAAACAACAGTTTTTCTTCAGGTTTACTAGATTTTTCACTCAGAATTGCTTTCTTATCAACAGAGACTTAGCCAGTCTCTGATAGTAATAAATTATAACCTGAGTACGCTAAGATTATGTTATTCACACTCTTTTCTGTTTTCCAGTCCATGGATTCCCAAGGTCATATTGGAGGGTTTATTTGACCAAAAGCCATGGGGACTTCATGGATTTAGAATTCCATTTGCGATGTTATGACAATAGCTCATCATGATATTGTGTCTTTTATTAGTGCTAAAAACAAATATTGCAAATATCAATGTACTAAAAACACCTAGATAACACCTAGAAAAGGTTTACACATGTTTATTCTTTTATTCATATACTTCCAATATTTTGAGCCCCTCAGGACATTGTTGCAATGAAAATTATTTCTAAATTACTGCCTAGGAACAGTATACAAGAGTAACTGTATTATAAAACAGGAGATTGTTCATGACAAAGAAGAAATAAATCAATAACAAGTGCAAGTACCTCACAAACTGTTACTTCAACATAAATTGTCCCTGTAAGAAGGACAGAAAAATGTTTTTACCAACCTTTTACTTTTTTCAATTCTCACTGGAATCCCATGTCAGAAGAGAAAATGGCTGTTTGCTTAGAATAAAGTGTCTTAGCTATCTGCGTGGACCTGACAGTAATGGCAAAGGATGGTGCCGATCAATATCCATCTTCTTCATTCCTGAAGTAATAACTTTCAATAGGAAAATCTATTTACTTTTACTTACCTTTATTTTATTTCATTTTGCTTTAAAGAAGTTCATTCCAGAGGGAGGGTTTACCCTGCAAACAGCAGTTAACAAACTGATGATTTAACTAAGGACTCTGGGCCAGTTGGCGTGTTACCATTTGCTGTACCTGTGTGTTAATGCTAAGAAAAAACATATTTCTCTAGATTCTACATTTATTATTCAAATAACAGTCACTAGAAGCCTTGCAAGGCCCATAGCTACTTTATATGGAAGGTATATCAGCAAGGTCAGTCAGAAATAAGGGTCAACATTCACATTCTTACATGTAGGGCTTCTTGAATTTTTTACATTCTGTTTGCTGAAGACACCATATGATATTGTACTGTATGATAAGTAAAACATCACTGGATGAGGATTTAAAAAGGAAACTCCAAACTCTTTCTTGGGAAGACCTGTAATAAAAACTATAGCTAGGACGGGCCCATGTATCCTCTGTCCAGGTATAAAATACAGAAGGAACTTTCACCCCAAGTTGTCACAACAGTTAGTATTTTAAATTGCACTTCAAAATGAAGCACTCTACATATGATTATAAGCACTAAAATAAAGGATTTTTCAATGTTCGAAACATTTTTACTTCTCTTTACCTCTTCTGTCTCCCTTCCAGCACTGTGACTGTTTTATAATCATAATAGATTTTATTCCTATTGAGCTAGAATTGGTTTAAAAGTTACAGTTTTTTTCTTTTCTGTTTCCTAAACAGACTTGTTTTACAAATTATCTTTTTCAAGGGGATGACAATTGACATGTCAAATGTTAGATGTCTAATAACATTCAATGACAATTCTTGTCAGTGAATCTATTGAGTGATTTTTATCTTATTAATTTTTATTTGTGAAACTGTAATTAAAAGTCACTATTTTAATATACACAAAAATTCATGTAACTGTCTTTATAGAACTCTGGAAGTAACATCATGAAAAACAAATATTTTTATAAATATTTAGATTTTAATTTTCCACATAAATTTTTTTTAATTCTTCACATACATATATATACACACAGTGATTTCAGACTATGAATATTAGAGAACCTGTTTACCCTAGAAATGTTGCTCAAAAACGCTAATATTAATATCAGTAATTTAAAGTTTAAAATAACAGGAATGAATTAAATAGCAATCTGAGACTACTAATTCTCAATGTGAATTTTTAAGCTAATAATTGGTAATTTATTTTAAATCAAAAGGAATAATAAAAACCCATTTCTGAATTCTGGGTTCATACACTAATCTCAGAACACTCACTATGTGTATTTGTTACTAAGAAAGGAGATCACTGGTATTAAACCCCTGCTTAAATTAACTGCAAGATGGGAAATAAATTAAAGTCAGTACTCTCCTTAGAATTTGTAAGAAAACATATATTAACATAGATGTAATATAGCAAGAGAATTAATTGCAAATAAAGTAAAATATACACAATGACGAAGATAAATTACATTTCACTTCTACTATCTAAGCATTCATTAGTAAGAGGATATCAGCAAAGAAAAATGCATGTACGCTTTATTCATTTGATATTTGCACCAGACATAAAGGATCACATTTTACATGAAGGTGATCAGCCTTTCACTTTGGCGAACTTCTCTGCATGCATTTTCATGTGTGAACATGTGTACTAGGAAAATAATACATGAGAAAGCTTTTTATACAGTTAAAACACAAAAGACAGTTACTCTAGCTAAATGGGGCCCCCAATAAATCTGAAAAAACAGCCATTGACAATCTTATTTAAAAAAAATAGTTTCACTTGTTAAAAGGCACCAAGGGATTAGAAAAAAATATCCAAGGTCTTAAATATTTTAGAAAGCTTTTGGTTGTTGTTGTTCAGTGACAGTAATTTTTATTCATTGGTTTGTACCTGCAACATATTTTGTGGTAGAAATTCATCCACTATCTTATGTTCTATATATTGTCATTAAACTATATATAATATACTTTTCAAAAATTATTACTTTTAGGAAAATGACAATATATAATAAGTATTGCTCTTTATGCATCTACATTATAAAGGAATCTTTTTATAGGATTAATTCTCCTATAAGGAAGAATAGATATTATTGAAAATATACACAAATATTAGGGAAGACAAAATTTAAGGCATAATAAGTTGAAATCTCAAATTTAGAGATAATAAACACCACTATTTGTCCCTCAGAGAGTACCCATTTTAATACTCTAATTAAAATTGAGTAACTGCAAACTTACATTGTCAATAACTATTCAATACATGTTAATTGAATATGTAAAAAAGAGAAGTTAGCTTACACTTAATAACATTTTCGGCTTTGAAGCTTTACTACAGGCATAAATAGTAAAGCTGCACCTGGCCTTACCTAGGTCTTTTAAGTGCGAATATTAACTTGAAGTCCCACTGTATTTTTAAAAATTATATGGGAAGGAAGACTTTTTTTATAGATGGGCATTTTATCTTAAAACGTCCCTTAAAATATGAATGTCCCTTCAAAAGAAGACAAACTTATTCCTATCACCTGTTCATCAGGTTTTACAAAATCAGAACTCAAAATCTTGAATACTTTAATAATTACATGATTAAAAAAAAAACTTGGTACCAATATGTTAGATGCATTGCATTTGTGAGTTAATTTTCATATCTTCCTGTGAAGAACTGCAGACTACCAGATATTCATAGTGCACTAGACTGAGGCATATAGGAAAAAGCAAGATAAAGAAACTCGCACAGGCCACTCCTTCTACACACATTCTACAAATGGAAATTTAGAATTATATTTTATTTGGTGAATTACATTTTAAAATGTTCTCAGCAGGAATTTGTTATTATGTAGAAAACTTCAGATTATCATTTTTTTCTAAATGACATCAAATAAAACACTCATCTATTAAAATCATCATTAAGTGGAATAGTGATTGCCAGGGTTTGGGAGTAGGGGAAATGGGGAGATGTTGTTCAGGGAGTATTGATAAGATTTTAAAAATATAGCCATTAAAAATAAATATTTAGGGCACCTAGAAAGCTATACCCATCATAAAGTCATAGAGCCCATGGAAGAAGCTCAATAAATATTTTCCTGATATATTTATTATAGATATGTGGGTGCATTTATCTATGTTTATATCTGTGTGTATATATATATATATATGTATATATATATATATATATACATATATATAACAATTATACAACTAGCTAGATACATGTGCAGTTCCAGACAAGTGCTTATACTCTGTTACTCCTCTGTGTCACTCTACTGATTTCCTCCTCAAATCTTTATTTTCTAAGGTTTTAAAGAAGTGAACATTTGCATGGTTTATGATCATATTTTAGATCCCAACAAAGGACATGGCCATAATAAGGCATCTAGGCCATAATCTTAGGATCAAAATTACACACAGTTGTAATAACTGGAACACAAGGCAATTTGCCTTGCTCAGATTTCTCCATAGTTGCATTATTTGTTTTTATGTTTAACTAGACAGATATATCTCATCTCTATTTTAGAAGATTCCCAGGCTTTATACCTTAATTCCCTCAAATCTGGACCCCAAAAAACAAAATTAGTTTACAAACACACTTAAATTGTTCAATAATTGATTACAGCTTTGGCACCGCAAGAATAATACAGTCACAACAATAGAGTTGCTAATCTGTATGAAGTAATTGCACAAATGCCTTTTTATATGACACAGCACTAGTGGAGGCCTACATATCATAGTCACTGGTGTTCATCTACATCAAAACTTTCTATCACTCTGTATTTATTTGATTTTGACATATTTATAAAAAGTCCATGTATGTGTGTGCAGTGAATTTCTAAATTATTAAACTCACTTGTATCAATGACTTTTTTAACAAACAAAAATAATTCTGCCTACTTCAATGTTACAGTAAGAGATAATTTCAGAAATGTAAAACAGCCAGCAAATGATGGAGTGAATAGTACAAGAGTAGCTACATTAGTCTTCCCTTCTTACATGCAGGAGCTCTGAAAATGCTGTTGGACACAGAGCTTTATTCGAAGAGGTTTCACACATGCATTTTTAATCAGGATTATATTTCACAGAGATCTGTCACCGCTCACAAGTGCAGCTGCCCAGTCCTCCTTGAAATGTATCAGCTCTCAGTCTCAGCCCTGAACTAGTTTTTCTTTGTACAAATCTGGACGTGGTGATCCACAGGGCGGTGTTTTTCTTAAAAGGAAATAATAATCCCCTAGAATTGCATAGGACTCCTATGCACATTGTTTTTAGTTCAAACATACAACTACTTTAACCTGAAACTGTCTTCAGAGCCACTATCTCCACAAAGTTAACAGTCTAAACTTTTGCCTTTCAGGTATTTGCTAAACGTAGATCTAGTAAGTGGTTATTTTAAATTCAGTCATTTACATGAATGTTTGTGTTGAATTAATCCTATGCTACTCTTCTTGATCTATTATATTATTAACCTATTCTCTCTCCTATAATAACTAAGACCACATAATAAACAAAATACAGTGAAAAAATGTTTACATGGATATGTTTCTCGAATGTGCTTCATATGTTGGACATATAATGTGGTGATACTATAAAAGTATGCTTTTACTATGTATAAACTATGTATAAAACTATGTATAAACTATGTATAAAATATCCTACAGAAATTTATAAATGCAGAAGAATGACTCGTGTGTATGTATAGCTATATTCCCAATACTGCCTAAATTGGCAAAATTTATTTAAGTATCAACAGAGGAGATTAAAGGTTGTAATTACTATAAAAGTATATGTTGTTTTGAAATTATATTCTTTCACTAAAAATATATTTTAGAATAATTATATTTTGAACTTTTCAGGTTGTAGCAACAAAATTTACTCTTAGATATTCAAATTAATACAAAAATGGAAGGTTTTTTAAGAGCTTAATTTTATACATAGTATGTTTAATGTCTAATGAATACCGAATGGCTATTAAAGCACACCCAGCACACATTATATATCTAGTAACTAATATTTGTCTCAAAATATGTTTCCAAAAGCATGTGTGGAGAAATATTTTTCAGTTACAAAAGTTTCTAAATCTGTAACAATGCAAAGCACTAGAGCCAGTTTAGAATC
The DNA here is from genome assembly GCF_000001405.40 of Homo sapiens. Classification (NCBI taxonomy): domain Eukaryota; kingdom Metazoa; phylum Chordata; class Mammalia; order Primates; family Hominidae; genus Homo; species Homo sapiens. The sequence goes on along the minus strand of NC_000004.12, from coordinate 110,987,915 downwards.
TATAAGTCGGGAACTACTGTACAACAGCATATGTCCAGAAAAATACACTAACGCCAACAGCACAGGAACACTCACATGAAGTAACTATATCTATATGTTGTCAAGCAACTGGTCATAAAAGCACTGAATAAAAGGGCATTTGAAATTGGATAGTTCTGAAAATACCACAGCTGATTTTTTATATTCTCTGACAGTTAAGAACAAAAAGACCTTCAGACAAAAATTTTAGATACTCCCTGTGATATTTGACTTCCTCAAAGTTTATGCATAAGATTACCAAAGGTCCGGGAGTCCCAAATAAAAGTCAATATTAAGCCACTTGATTCTTGATTCTCAATTGCTTCATGTTCATAAAATTACTCTCCATCATCATCATAAACACTATACATTTTAACATCTGTAATAGCATTTCTAAACCCAGAGCTTACATCTACAACACTGGGATGAAGGCAGCTTAGGATATTACAGTGTCCTTTTTAGAAATTTTATATTTTTCAGAGTTAACATTCTCTTTAATTTTACCACAATCCAAAGGTTTGGAAATTACATTTCAAAATTCTATTACATGTAATTAGCAGCAATACCAATGACTCAACATTTTCCGGAGCTTAAAAGATAAAATTGTCTTACAGATCTGAATTGTTGTCTAGTTTAAGTACAAGTAAAAAGGCGGGATTAAAGAAATCATACTTTTTTTTATCTATTGCTTTAGCATTTAGTTAACAAGAAATCCTGGCTTTTGAGTTGCTTAGCCAACAACCTTGAATAGCACAATTATATTCCCCAAATGGTTTCATGTTTCCAAAATGAAATTTTACAAGGTATTAGTTTAAAATATTTATTTCTGTTTAGGAAAATCTCTGTCTGTAGCCTCAAAAAAACATTGTATAAACAACTTTCTCTGAGCAAATATTAATATTTAACATAAAATATGGAATAACAGTAGTAAAATAAAATCATTTAAAACATGATATTAAAACACATAATTTCTCACAACCTAATAGAATGTCATTACAGAAGATTGACTGATAATATAAAGCTTTACATTTTTCCCAAAAATGTAGTTAACATCCACTATAAACTAACAATTATATTTACAAAAAAAAAAAAAAAGTGCAAACCTAATCTTCCTGGATCCTGTTGAAATCTAAGAGGTTCTAACTCCTGCATGTTTATAATTGTATTTGTTTTTGAATATATAGGATGATTTTTGAAAAGAATTATAAGCATTTTCAATTTATTGTACATGCATTTTTCTGGTATCACAAAGAAAGCAGTAAACTCAAAGCCAAAACATCTGTATTTCAATATTCCTTTTACAACTTGATGCCCCAAATCCTTGAATCTGCATTTTCTCATCTGAAAAGTGGGAATCATTTCTGTCTTGTTCCACCTGTCTCACAAATTTGTGAGGGTGAGAGATAATTACTCTCAGTGATCAGAACACATTCTGTTTCTGGAGCATATAGGCCTCATATGTAACAAATTTCAATCTCAAAGGAATGAGGTCAGTGTCTTTATCACATCTCCCTATTTTTTTAAATGACAAATGTCACCAGAAAATGTCTTATTTATTTATTCATCTTTCTATCCATCATCTCCCTCCATTAGAATGTAAGACCCTTACTGGAAGCGACTTTGTCTTTTTCATCACTGTATTCCCAGTGCCCAAGTCAGTGCTTGGCTCATCAAAGATGCTTCAATATTTGTTGCTGGTCTAGTTAAATAAAAGGTATGTGTTCAGATAAGTATGTGGGAATATAGGCCCCTGCTGCCTTCCCCATCAGTGTCTGAGGTCCACATGCTAATAGATCTGTCAGATGTAGGTGACACAACCATCTCATTCAGTAAAAGTGACTCAACTAAATAGAAGCCTTTAGGTTTATAAGCAGTTTCACATTTACAAAGGGCTTTCCCATGGCCTACCTGACCTAATACTCTGAACAGCAGGTATACAGGATTGGTATTATTCTTTCTATTTATGCCAGACATAAGTGATGTCATTGTCATATCAAAGGCCAAACTATTCATTGTAATTTTTTCACCTTTCTATCTATCTTGTTTCTGCAACTGTTCCTTTCTCTCGCACATCATGGCTTCTCCCCACTCTACTGGATCATTCCACCAGCACACAAACCTTCTGTAATGTTATCTATCTAAAAACAAAACAAACCCTCTTTTGATCCCTCATTGAGCTGTAGCTACCCCTCCCTTTCTCTGCCCCTCTTTCTAACAAACCTACTCTAAAGGATGTCTATTCACTCTCTCTACTCCCTATCTTCCATTCCCCCATGAACCAACTTCAATCAAGCTTTCACCTCTACCACTCCACTGAAACCTCTTCATCGAAGTCACCAAGGACATCCACATTTGTCAATTCTAGTAGTATCCAGTTCTCAGTTTTTAATCTAATGAAGCTTCTTAGCGGCATTTAACAACTAATCACGTTCACCTTTTTTGAGACATATCCTTCCTTTAGCTTTCAGGACATCACTGGACACACCTTCTCAGCCTCCATTGATAGATACTTTTCATTTCCAATTCTCTAGCTACTGGAGTAACCCAAGGCTCAGTTCATTGACCTATCTCCTTTTCTCTATCTCCCCACTCCCTAGGTGCTCAACTGCAATCACTTGACTTTAAATACCAACTATAAACTAACAACTTCCATATTTACATGTGTGTGTGCTAGACTCATCTAGCTCAAATAGAATGTTTACTAGGCATTTCAAACTTAATATATCAAAAGTTGGACTCTTGATTTTTTTTCTTCAATTCTGCTCTTCCTGTTTTGTTTTGGAGCACAGTAAATGACACCAGGGTTCTGCACTAGATAACAAGCAAACAAACAAACAAACAAACCTGGACACAATCTTTGATGCCTTTTTTTTTGCATAGCTTTCCTCTAATCCTTGAGCAAAATTTTCAGCTCAATTTTCAAATTATAACCAGAATCCAATCATGTCTCATCATATCCACCTCTACTTAGCAAAAGCATCTATCATCTCTTGCCTGGACTACTATTATAGCTTTCTAACTCATCTGCTGGCTTCCACTTTTGTCTCCCTATGGTCTATCTATATTTAGAACCAAAATCAAATTGTATCACTTATCTGGTCAGAACCATCCAGTGACTTTTCCTTCCACTTAGAATAAAACCTAAAGACCCAAGATCCCACATCATCTGCCCCTAACCACCACTTTCCTAATGTTGCCTCCTATTACTTTTCCAGTATCTCTTTGGGCTTCTGCTTTTCCTCAAGCCTGCCTATCACACTCTTGCTTCAGGGTCTTTACATTCATTATGCCCTCTACATGCAACACCTTTTACTGGATATTCTCATGACATGCTCTTGCTATTCACTTAGTCTTGGCTCAAAGTAATTAACTTTATTCTCTGACACTAGAATGTAAACTCCATGCAGGCAATGATTGTTTCTTTCTTTTTAACTGGTATATCCCAGTTACTTAGAGCAGTGCCTGGCATAGATTATGGTCTTGATATTGGTGGGAGGATGGGAGGAAAGAAGGAAAGAGGGAAGAGAGGAAAAAAGGCAGGAAGGGAAGGAGGAAGGAAGAGAGGTAGGAAAAGAGGAAGCAATTAGAAGAGAAAGAAGAATTAAGATGTTCTGGAGGTTGATTTTTCTGTAATATAATTCTAAAGATTCCTGTAATGTATCAAAAATGAGTATCATTGTGGATAAATTAAATGGACTGAACTGAATAGGGTACGAAAAGGAAGCGGTTTATTTTTCTCTTACCATTGTGTTAAAGATGCCCTCTTAAATCTCTTACTATGACTATATTTCTAGTCTATGCCAGTAGCTTTGCAGATGTTTCCAGCTAAAAAAAAATATCTGTTCCAGCTAAAACAATAGTTGTTTTGGAAATTAAGACTCACCTTAGGTTTTCTAAAATTTTAAGTGAACTTAATTTAAAATTCTAACATCTATTCCAAATTATCTCCCCTCCCTGCCCTCAGGCTTGAGCCTGGCTCTGGGGAAAGAAGATGGCAGCTATCTGCATTGCCTTGCCTTCTCTCATTCCCATTTCTAAGACTGGGCAGAGAATAGGGATTTTTAGGGAAGTGGAGGCAGTGTATTTTCACTTAAGTAGTACAGTTTGTAGTCTTTGCTAATAGTGGCCAGCACTGCCATGTCAGGGATCCATGAGCTGGTCTTTCAATAAGCACATTTGTCACCTTTTTTGGGAGGCTCCCACGAGAACATTTACATTGAATTTCTCAGGAATACAGAAGCGTATCTTCTAAGAGTGCAGAGAAGTGATTGTCGGATTGAAAGCCTGAAAACTAAGGAGATGGCTTGAATCAACTACTTTTGGAAATAGACCATAGACTAGCATAAGAGGAATAAAAGTACTCAAACTTCATTTGAGGCTATGCCAACTTAATAGGATATTATCACAACCAAAGTATATATTAAAAATGTGCCAAGTAACTATATGAGTTTTTAAATCACATTTAAAATGTAATTAACACTTAAGTGTATATCTAAATTTAGTAAATTACTCAGTTGACATACATAATGTTACAAAGTGAATTCAGATAGTTGAATATGTACTAGAAACCTGTGAAGGAACAGCAAAAATTAATGAGTTAGTACAGGCACCAAAGGAGATTGATTGTAGCAAGTTACAGGAACTGGAATTAGATCTATACTCATTCAACAATTTTCTAATTACCTAGAATGATGTATTTTGTGTTAATTCAATTCTCTGGTGATACTAAATAATTGCCATTTAAAACAAAGAAATCATTGTAAAGATACATGCAGTGGTTACACATCATGGCAAACATTTTTAAAATTTTTTAATTGAAATTTTAAAATGGCAAAAACATCAATTGTCCAGGCCAACCATTACATATACAGAAGCAGCATATAATCAGTTACATCGAAAGAGAGCTCTGAGATTCACACTCCCTGCTAGGGTTGGTGCTCAGGTATTACCTGAAGCTGATTACACTAATAACTGCATGTTAAAGGGAAAAAGCAAATATTTTAATAATTTTATATTTTATGCCAGCATGTGGGGAAAAGTGCGAAATTCAATCTTTTTGTGGTTTCCCACTTACTAAAGAAGAAAGTTTAAACTCTATTTTTTCCCTTTATGAGCTTCCACAACATGCCAACCTTCTCAGGCTTTTCTCAACTCTTGACCACAAGAATCTATTTGCTCCAGCTGAATAACTAGCTTGTCACTCTCTCCCAGTTTTTCCCTGTGCTTTTCCACTCCACTATTGCCACTCTCAGAAAACACCCTCTTCCTAAATCTCCCTATTAAAACTTGCATCATCCTTCAGGGTTAAGTTTTGAAATATTTGGTTTCTCTATGTGCTGCCCATCTCAGCTGAATGTTCTATCACCCTTTTTTAAGCTGCATAAAAAATGTGTATTCTTTCTACAACCCTTTTTACTCCAAGCATTTGCTGTCCTTTATCACAATATTTTGTAAACCTCTCTTTCCAATTAGAAATTCTGCCCTAGAGATGAAATGTTATCATATACTCCATTAGATTTCCCACCGGATCCATCAGGCCACAGAGAGTGCATGTGCGTGCAGAAGCATGTGCATACAGGTTTGTGTGTCTGTATTTCTACTCATTTATGGAATCAAGATTGATTATGCTCCTATCTGATCTTTATGCCAGTTGCTATTGGAGGCTATGGGACCCTGGAGATAAATCAGTAAAACAATTGACAAAAGCCTTAGCCTTATGTAGTTGATACTTTAGTGAGAAATTTAGACAAACAGGTAATAAAGATACAGTGAAAAAATGTCATGTAAGGAGTTTTGAGGGAATAAATGGGAGTAACAACTTTCCCAGACTTGACAAAACAGAGAAAGGGATGTGGAAGGGAAGAATTAGAGAATAGATTAGAGTCATCACAGTGAGGAGGGAAGAAAGAGTTCTAGAGAGATGCAAGTGCTTATGTGATGGCCCAGATGAAAAAAACTGCCAGTGCCACTGAAAGCACTGACCTATGTGTCCTGCGGCCAGAATAAGAAGTAAAATGGCATATGGGGGAGAGCCAAGCCTGACGCTTAAGTAAGAAGTAAGTATTTCAGGGCAGATGAAAAGGTCAATATTATCACATGCTGCCAAGATAACAAATAATATAATGACTGAGATGTGTCTATTGGATTTAGCATGAAGAAACCTTTGGTGACTGGCAAAACAGTGTCAATGGTATGGTTGCCTGGAAATCAAATTATAGTGGGTCAGGAAAAATGTGAAGAATGAGTAAATGAGACAAGAGTGTAGATAATGCTTGTATTACATTGTACCATTAAGGAAAAGAGAGATAGAGGAGGGGTGATGGAGGAATTTGGTTTCAGAAATGATGAGGAAGGTTTCAGCATGGTAAAAATTGGAGGAAAAGGAGCCAATGAGAAGAAGAAATTGATAATCCAGGATATGGGGATGACCAATAAGTCACAGTCACTTAGAGAGTAGGAAGCAATGGGATCTAGGGCACTGGTGTCGTGAAGGGAGCAGGCAGTGTCACTTCTTCCATTTTAAAGAGAGGAAATGAGAAAAGAATGAGCGTAGATGCACATGAACATCTAGCTTGGCTGGAAAGAAGAGGAACTAATATATTGTCTATAGTATTACCACTTTAATATCTTCACTCTCTTTCCTCAGAGAAAGTACTATAATTTTTTCCCAAAGCCAGTATGGGGTAGACCCAGAGCATTCTGATGACTCCCCATGTGAACTAGAAGACACTCATAAGGAATGAGCCAAAATACATCAAGTTGGAGACCCCGGCAAAGTAACTGTAATCGAAAGGCTGCCCTGCTAACTTCATCCTCCCTTCACCCCAGAGAGGCCTCAGATGTCATTTATTATGAAGCTCAAGACAACTTAGCCAACTCCAGGCCAATCTAGGACAATCTTGCTATTCAAGATTTTTTATCCAGGGATTAACTGGAGTCTAAGTGTCTGTGCTAATGATCCAGTACAGTTTTGTGGTCAAAAGGAAAATTTGTAAAAGCAGTATCAGGCTCTTTCCAGAGGTATTGTCCAGTTTAGTGTTCTTCACTTTAACATGCACAGGAGTCACCCAGGGAATTTGTTAAAATACATTTTTCCTGGCCCTACAACCAGACATACTGATCAAGAAGATCTATGGCAGGGCCCAGGAACATCGACTATTTACAGCCACCCCCGAGTGATTCAGGTGCAGATGGTTCACTCTAAAGCACAATGCAGGAGTAAGGAACAGAAAAAAGTGGGAAGAAATCAGGGCAACTCATCCCACTCTGAGCCTACCTCTCTAGTCCTAGTCTAGGTTCTAATTATTCGCAAAACCAAGAGCCAGCAGAAAGAAAACATAAATAAAAGACTCTGCAGACCTAAGTTGCTGAGCCAATAGACTAGCAATCCTAGAAGTTTAAGGAAAAATGGAAACTAATCTACAAAATGATGTTCTTCTTAATACATGGTTCTTTGTTCTCCTCATTAGACACTGGCAAACCTCACCAACTAAACTGGCTCCATATGTCATATGTTCATGAGAAAGAAGCCAATAATAACCCACCAAACTGCTTTCTCACTGGTTCCAAGACTGAGAAGCCTGAGCATGTAGATAATGGGATTGCTACTGTGCGGTGGGACAAGCAGGCTGGGACAAGCAGGGGCTCCAGAATATATATCTGATTATATATCTTCCCAACTCCACTTGGAATTTGCTGTTCCATTTTCTCATTTATAAATTTTTTTTTCCATTCAACTCTTCTTTGCCTATAAATTTACTCAAATATACTCATTCCTAAAAAACCAAAACAACATTTTCCTCTGTTCTGTTCCCTAAGCTCTCACCCTATCTTTTGCCAAGAAGCTGGTTGACAACATGGTGTGAGGTAGTTATCTTTGTTACTTAGCTTCTCATTTTCTCTGTAATCTAGGATTTCTCAAAATGGGGTTTGCCTCACACTATTTTGAGATGCTTGTTAAACATGAAGATATTTGCGCCTCATTTCAGACCTACCAGATCAGATCTTTTTCTGTTTTGACAAGCCTCTTAGGTTACTCACAGAAACTAAAGCTTGAGAACAACTGCTATGATCCATTATATTCCAGATTCCACTCCCTATAACTCTAAAGAAACTGCTCTCTCTGGGGTTATTAATGACCTTTCAACAGCCAAATCCCTTAACTGCATCTCATTCCTAGATTGGACTGACACATCTCTACTTTTTTGTTTTCTAAGATATGTTCCCTTTGGAAACAAGTTTCTGGGACAGATTTTCTCCATCAACTTTTGGGGCCATTCTCCTGATGTTTCCTTTCCTGGCTCTCATGGATCTGTTCTTCCTTGTTAAACTCCTTCTGTGTGATGCCCTTCACTCTCAAATTCACATCAGCTCCCATGGCACTACTATCCCAGTTGTTCAAAAGGAACACACACACACACACACACACACACACATTTTTATTAACCTATATTAATCTTTTGCCTGCTCCACTACTCTAAGAGAACCAGAGCTATAATGATCATAACAATAAACCAAGTACTCAATGTTGTCTCAGGAAGCAAGCCTATGCTAAATTCTCCTATGAAAAGATCACATGGCTACGTGGTGTACACGAATGAATTCTAAGTGACTCAATAGCAGGTATTCCCTCAAAGTGGAAGAGGGACCCCTCAAAAAACCATATAAGAGTGTAAACCCCTTCCACATTGCATATGGCTGACTCTATGACTCATTTTGAGAATAGAATGTGGCAGAAGCATATAGTAACTTCCAATGCTAGGCTTTAAGAGATCTTCAAATTCTGTTTTGTTTTTTGTTTTTTCTTTCTTTTTTTGGCTTGAAACATTTCTTATAAACCTAGCTCCCATTATATGAGAAAGCAAGTACCACGGTGGACTGTTCTCTGTCTGGGTTGATTTCTCAAGCCAGGCTCTAAGAATTTCACAACAGAATGTTAACTACCTTTTGACCCTGTGGAATCTAAAATACACAAACCCATCTTTAATCACCAACGTGGAAGAGCCATCTCTTCAAATGTCCATTAGAGAATTCAACCAAGAATTGATTGCCATCCATCAGTTGCCAAATGCTTACTTGAGACCCAGGATATTTAAGTAATAGATGACACCCCTTTGTTCACTCATTCCAAATGTATGAGACACATAATATCTAGCCCCTCACCTAGACCATGCAGAACAAAAGAAAGAAAGCATGGCCCTTGACCTAAAGTAACTCATTGACTTGTAGGAAGTAAGAATAGAAATAAAAATTACAATATAATATTATATCTGCAATTCAGAAGTAGCACAAAGAAGGATTTGATTAATACTGTCAGGGATGGAGATATGAATAGGGGTTAGAGAAGTCTTTACATAGAAGACAATGCATTAGCAATGTTTCAAAGGCAAAAAGTGAAAAAGAAAATTCCAGAAACAGGGCACAGCATTTCCATTTCCATTTCTATGGACGCATAGAAAGAAGCCCCACTAGAGGAGCAGGCAGGCATCATAAAAGGCCTCATAGACCATTCTAAGGGATCTAGAATCCTGCCTAGACTACTAGTCTTAAGTCAGATGAATTGGAATTAAATCTCCACTTTATTTCTTACTTGTCTATAACATCAGTAAGCAACTGAAACTTCTTGGCCTCAGTTTTCCCATCCATTAAAATATTATAATAATGATTTGTCCCACTATTAACTCAGGGCACATAGTTGTGAATAAGACAGACATAGTTCCTGCCTTCAGAAAGCTTATAGGTAACAATGCTCTGAAAATTAAAGCTGTTAACGTGCCTAGCATAGTACCCAGCACAGAGTAGATACTCGACTATCATTAATACTTAAAGGAGAGTAATTTCAATGAGGTAGTGTCCAAGAAAGGCTAATGAATTCATCTTTGAGCAATAAAGTTAATTTTGCAAATTTTGGCCAACTATAGTCACCTCAGTGTCCCACTATAAATATCATGATATCATAGCTATAATGCTCTTTGGAATAATTAACAAACCTGTTATCATTTCACTTACCTAGTTTTGTTTTAAACACTTATTTGACTAGAAGACTTTTGTTTCAAGTAACGCTACTAAAATCTTGTGAAACTAATGTTCTACCATGGAAAAGAGTCATGATTAAGAGCATTCTTTTGTCTCCCAGCACTTAAAACCACTGAGCTGAGGAAAGTTGCTTAAGCTCTCTATAACTTGATTTCCTCATCTAGAAACAAAGAGATAAAACACCTACCTCACGGGTTGCTGTAAGAACTTAAAGAAAAAAGTCTCAAAGCATATTAACTACTCATAAATAGCAGTGACAACTAAAGGTTTTCATTGTACTCTTTTAGGGGAAAAGAGTAACATTAAAATACTTTAAGAACTACATAAATATTTATAGTAAATTGTATGCCAATTTGAACACTAGAATCAAGGGCATTATTTGGTACTATTTGTATCCTGAAATGGCTGAAAGTAACATTCATGGTACATTTTTTAAAACAAAATATATTGTCTTCTGTTCAGAACAGTATAACAGTGGTCCATCTAAAAACAGAGCTAAATAATCTCTAGTGGTTTCCTGTAAACTATAAATTATAAGAATTATTTCATGTTTAACCTACTAAATAATACAGAAATATTATTTTCTCTTGTGTCTTATAAAAGCAAATAACTAGAAAAGTAGCATCTAGAATCAAATCTATGCCTGCTTTAAGTCAACAAGCAAGTAGCCATGAGTATATTTATAGCTATGAATGCCATAGACATATTCTATTTCTGCACAAGCATGAGACTTATCTTTTCCAGCAAAATTCTCTATGTAAGGACGAAAACATACTTCTGCTCTGTTCCTAAACCTCACTATACTAATTTTATTCTCATCTTCATTTCATTGCCATCAATATCAACCTCATCAGCTCATCAAAAAACACTATTAATACCTGAGCTTGGGACTGTGCTGTGCAGCATACAAAGTGCACTGAGCTTCCAGATTAAACAAGTAATTATACAAATGTCCTTCAGTGCACATTTACCAGCATAAAATCTGCATGAGGGGAAAATAGCCAAGCAAGCCAAAGTTATACATTTCTAAACATAAATACACCACCTGAGTTAAAAAGAAGAGGCTTAATAAAAAATAAACAGCTTTTAAAGAGAGATTTAAAGCCTAAATGCAGCTTAGGACAAGTTGTGACTTTTCTATATCACATAGACATTACATCAAAAAGGAGTACACTCTACCAAATGGACTAGAAGGGATCCTCTTGGGATCCATGTGGAAATAGTCCTCTCTCCTTAAGAAATATATTTCAAGTGAGAAAGTTAGCATCATTTCCACAGCATAAAAATCCTAAATATTTTCTACGTTTTATTTCCCTTACAGTATTTACTTTCATTTTTTTAGGAAGGGCCTGCAGAATATTGGTTAAAAAGAGGGAGATGAAGAGAATGTAGCAAAACCCTGAAATGCCTAACCTTTACCCTTGGGTAAATAGAAATAACCCAAAATAAAGACTGTCAAAAATAACGACTCTGAAAAGCAAAAACATGTGAAAAATAAACTCTGAAAAACAAAGTAATAAAAATTAAGAATAATAATAAAATCTCACAGGTCAGTTTATTTCAGCTTCCACCTTGACACAAGTATCCCTTGGGTAACATCTCACTATGACTACATGTAGGGAAGCATTTATAGACAAGAATGTGGGCAACTCTATCAAATGTTCTCCTTGAGAAATACATGCGGAATATTCAAGCGAAGCAGGATCCTAGCAAACATCTAGTCTAGAGGCCCAAAGCATTTTTCTACCTAAGATATCTGATGGACCACTCTCTTATCATTATCACCACCAAATTCCTATATTGCCTTCCACAGCAAGACAGACTTGATTAGCAAAACCTTGCAGATAAAGATTAGCAGAAGATAACACATAATGTGCACAATATAAATTATACCAGCCACTTTTTTTTGTTTTTGTTTTTGAGACGGAGACGGAGTTTCACTCTTGTTGCCCAGACTGGAGTGAAATGGTGCAATCTTGGCTCACTGCAAACTCCGCCTCCCGGGTTCAAGCAATTCTCTTGCCTCAGCCTCCCAAGTAGCTGGGATTACAGGCACCACCACGCCCAGGTAATTTTGTATTTTTAGAGACTGGGTTTCACCATGTTGGTCAGGCTGGTCTCGAACTCCTGACCTCAGGCGATCTGCCCGCTTTGGCGTCCCAAAGTGCTGGGATTAAGGCGTGAGCCACCACATCAAATTTTAATATTTACATTTTTGTTCCCCTGTACAATTTTATAATGAGTAAATGTACAATTTTCATGATGCTTTTGAAATCCTGAATATATGCCCTCTGTAGAAACGACTCTGCCTTTGCATGTACTATAAATATCAGCATTCCAGGTTCTTACTGGAGAATATAACTAGTGATTTCATCATCAATTTTCAGAAGTCTGGGATTCTGCTGTTTTTCAGTGCCTGCCAAAATGCTGATTTTGTGTGCGTGTGTGTGTGTGTGCAGGAGTGTTACTTTTGGTATTTAAAAATTGCCCCAAATCAGAATAATTTTTGCTTAAGATATACCTAGAGAATAAAATCTCCTTAGAGTCTAACAAAGTTCCACTCATTTAAAAAGGATTCCAACCACTTCCCTGTAGGTTTGAGACCATTCCAAGAGTTTTATTGCCATTTTAATTATTTTTTCTTAACTTGCTAGTAAATTTGAACTTGTTTTCTATGTTTATTAGTTATTTGTATTTTCTCCAAAACCAGTTTGGGCACCTATGAACTTCCCAAAGGTCCTGATGGAGTCATTGTAGAATTGGAGGAAGGGAGTGAAATTTTTCAGGAGAAGAGGAGAATAATAGGAAAGGGAAACTAAAGGACGTAAGTAGAGGACAAAGTGAGTGGGTCATTAGCAGGCCCAATTTCCTGCCCGTCCCTTGATCTGGTTTCCTTTCTCTCTCTTTGCCCTTATTTCTTCCAGGACCAATTCCTTCTCTTAGGCCTTTGCCTCTTTTCCCTAGGATAATATATTTTATCCAGAACCTTTTCCTCCAGCTCAGTGGGCTCTCAGACCTGGCATTTTCTCTGTCTCTCTCAACTGGAGCAGCATCTAAAGAAAAAGTATATAAAAACGATAATCATCTCTTCCTTAAAAAAGAAAAGGGGAACAAAAGCATTGGAATTTAATACTGACACATTAGTACTGTCATTTTGCTCCATTATTGCAACCACTAAATATAAAACTGAATTCTCCCATGTTCAGTTCTAATTGTGGAGCATTACCAGAGCAATATAATGCAAACCCATTTTTTTCACCCATTCTTATAGTTCTAATATCTAAATTCTTTCCTTGGATTAAGCCAAACCATATGAAATATGAGCATGTTTCTCACACAGATTCCATGCTTTGTATTAATTGCTGTACCTGAGGTATCTTTTCCTGTTCTGCCCTAGATTTTCACTGAAGGTTGAAAATCTTCATTAGAAACAATTACTTAAATAATGGTATTCTATGAATATATCCATAAGTGGTAAAACTAAAAAAAACCTATGTGGGAACAATGCTCCCCAGTCATACAAGAATAATTACCTCCAAGAAGGGAGGCAAGAGACGGTGACAGGAGAAAATATATAACTGTGTCTATGTTTTATTTCTTTATTAAAGGAGAGATTTGAAACATACTTGGAATACTGTTAAAAATACTTGGAATAATATTAAAAATATGTTAAATCTGGAAACTGAATTGTATTTTCTATAATACTTTTTTGTATATTTGGAATTTAAAATCCAAAACTTAAACATATAAAGAAACCATCATATAAAGCTCACAAATGTATTTGAGTGAAATTATTGCAAACATCGTCCTCTACAGAAGCTTTTCTCAAAATTTAATGTGCATACAAATCACCTGGGGATATTGTTCAAATGTGGATTTGACTTTAGTAGGTTTGGGTGAAGGCTGAGATTCCACATGTCTAACAAGCTCCCAAGTGAAATTGGTCCAAGAACCATAATTTGAGTAGCAAGTCTTCAAAGTACACCATAGTGTCACTTTGTGATTAATGCATCTAATAAGTCTCTCAAAAGACACAGTTCCAGGAAGAGTTATGCTTATCCTTAGTAGTTGGTTGATTTTTACCTTGTAGATGCTGTAAGTTTTGTTTCCCACTTTGTCTTGGCCACTAGGAAGCTCAAAGGCAAATCATTTATCTATCCTAGAAACTGCACAAGACTACATGGCACAAATTTTTATGAATTCACTTACTCTCGGTTTTTATCCATATTTTCCTTTTGTTACAATTTTAATACCTATACACTTTATTGTTATAAATCTCTTTTTATAAAGTGTTTCAAGTCCTCTTAGCAATGAAGTTGGGCATATTCAAACTAATTCATAACAATGAGGTCACTGTTTCAAAGGAGTTCACAGTCTTATGGTGAAGAGCGACGTACAAAATGAATATGTCCTACATAGCTCTATTTGGGATCTATAAGGCAAAGTATCTAATTTTGCATTAGAGTACCTGGAATATTACTATTACTAGTATCATTCTTAACATTAATATTTACAGGCATAATAATGATAGCAACCACTGATTGAATGTCTACCATGTTGCCTGGCACTGGACAGGATATTTCATCTCATTTTATCTCATTTACTCTTTTATCATTTATTGCAAGTAATCCCACCTATTAAATCTGTGAGATTTATATTATCATCACATTGTCAAGGCTCATCAAGATTACTTACACAGCTATATCAGGGTACAGCCAGGTTTAAAGCCCATGTATGGATATCACCAAAGCCCATGTTCTCATTGTTAAACACGATGCCTCCAGAAGCTTCACAGAGAAGAAAATGCTTAGTCTGAGACTTATATGTTGAGAAGAAAAGTTTAAAGCTGCCAAAGAGACTAAGTAGGATGAAGAGGGAGGAGGAAGAAGTTATTCCAGATGAAGGGAGTATCATGTGCAAACACAGAGAAATGTGAAAATACAGAATATGCTTAGAGATTTGTAAGAGGTTCAGAATAGCAGCAATATAGACCCAGCATGGGAAAGAAAGACAGATGAGGCAGGGGTCAGATTCCAAAGAGACCTGGGCACCTTATCGAGGAAGTAGATATTTATTCTGTAGGCAATGAACAACTATAAGAAGTCATCAGGCAAGAAAGCGAGAAGGTTAGATTCTGGTTTTTAAAATATCCCTTTCATGACTGTATAGAGGATATATTAGAAAAGCATGAGGATCAAGGTGGGGAGATAACTTTGATGGCACTTGCCCCAATTCCAATGAGTGTCCAACATGGTGAAACCCCATCTGTACTGAAAATACAAAACTTAGCTGGGCGTGGTGGCACATGCCTGTAGTCCCAGCTACTTGGGAGGCTGAAGCAGGACAATCACTTGAACCCGGGACGTGGAGGTTGCAGTGAGCCAAGATCATGCCACTGCACTCCTGGGCAACAGATCAAGAGCCTGTCTCAAAAATAAATAAATATGCAGAATGAGGGAGAGGGAAAGGTTGAAATTTAATCCAATACCCATATTCCTGGCTTGATAAACTGAGTGGACAGCAATAAGAGACTGAGTGGGATAGGTCAGGAGACAGGAAGATGACAGCTATATTTTAAGTGCTTTAAGATATTAGTGTAGAGGGTTGGAGCTAGGAGAGATAGAAGAGGCATCAATTGTGTGTTTGTGGTTACAGAAACTACAGGCATGAAAGGTAACACTCAGTAGTAAAGCATACAAGATGAAAAAGAGCCATAAAATGCCAATATTTAAGATGCAGGCTAAAAACTAAAAACTTGAAAAGTGTGCTGAAAAGGAAGAGCAGGATGTAGGGAGAAGATCTGAAGAAATCATATCACAGATATGTGGATAGAGTTTGAAGGAGGGAAAACTCAACAGTCTTCAAAATCTTAAGAGACTAAGTATGATAAATATTGAAAACTTTTCACTGATTCTAAAATTATAATGCCATCTTTAACCTTAAACAAAGGCAGATTCAGCAAAGCAATAGATAGACTGCAGTGGGTAGAGATGAAGACGTGGAAATAGCAAAGGCAGACTATACTTTCAAGACTCTTGGCTGAAAAAGGTAGAATCTGGAGTGGCCCAGCAGCCTTCCTGGTGCGGGAGCAAAGAATCTAGATCTCTTCACTAAAAATCCAGGAGTGCTGATCTACATCTATAATGAGAGAGTAAGGCAGAGGAGAGGAAGCAAAGGTAACTATAACAATATCATTAAAGTGCTGTTCTTATGGTCTAAGGCAAGTAAGGAAAATAGTAAACCCAGAGAAGCATAGGTAGACATGGAGAAAAGTGAAGAGTTAGAGGAAGACAGTAGTGATTTCATGGAGTAAGAAAACAAGCTAAATAGAAGAAAGAGTCTGCGAGAGATAAAAGATCATGTAGTTATTCTAAAAAAGCAGAGAACATGTAATGAATATTTGACAATAGGAGGGTGTTCAGGAATCACAAAATCAAACGTGAGACCACAGAGCTGGGTTGCTTTTGTGAAGCTGGATTGGAGGAGTTGGAGTCCACGAGATGGAGGAGCTGAGAAGCTGGGTCTCTCATGGGCTTTCACATAGACACTGTTATCCCTCCAGATCATGGCAGGGGTTGAAGTACAGAGAAAGGCTGAGTTACTTGCCAAAGTTTTTGTGGGGTGGGGAATGAAATGTGTGGAAGACCTAAACAAAATAAAATAAAGGGTTTATTAATAAACACGCGCTTACATGGGGTAGAAGTGAAATTGCCTGCAAGGAAGCAGCAGGAAGAGGCTAGAAGAATGCTGACTTCTTGCAGAACCATATTAGATGGCTCGTGGAAGAACAAGCATCCTCTATTCTTTACCATTATGAAGTGATATTCTGGAGGTTGGGATAGACAGGAGGTTCTGTGAAGTGACTGAGAAATATACTAAGTTACTAAGGTACTCAGCTTTAAAACCATGCTCTCTACTCTGTTTTGTGATTCTAGGGTGTGATTCTGAAAACTCTTAAGACTTATTTCTGCTTTGCCAGCTGCTCCCTGTTATGCTCTGACGTTAGGGGGCACCAGAGGGAGGCTGAAAGACAGGAGAAGGCACTGGGTCCTTCCTGTTTCTCTAGGATGACCTCAGAAATGTTGCTTCAACCTGGTAGTGGCTGTTTATTCCAGTAGTAGCAAGCGACTCCCATTTGTGGTTCTCATATTCCCATTCCAGCCTCATGATTCCCCCTCAGAAACATCACTCCAGTCGTCCAGGGTCCCCTTCCTGGGGGTCTGATTCCACCTCTGCTGGGCTGCTCCTCTCAGCCTCTAAATTTTAATAACCTCAACTTCTTAATACTGCATAATCCATTTGATTACAAGTTTACAAAATTTAATGTTTAGTAATTTTTAATAAACATGAAAATCTAATGGTTGACTAAAAAATTTTTGAAAATTTAAATATTTCAAGCAAACAAAAAATGCATAGAATATGATGAGCTTCACGAACTCTTAACATGTTGCTGTGTTTTCATTTTTAAAAGAGGAAATATTACAAGTAGAGTCGAATCCCCTTTGAACCCACCCCAGGCCACATTTCTCTTTTCTTCCCTCTACAGACTTGA
This sequence comes from Homo sapiens, assembly GCF_000001405.40. Classification (NCBI taxonomy): domain Eukaryota; kingdom Metazoa; phylum Chordata; class Mammalia; order Primates; family Hominidae; genus Homo; species Homo sapiens. The sequence goes on along the minus strand of NC_000004.12, from coordinate 110,970,310 downwards.
CCAATATCCTGAAATTGGCATGTATATTTCACATGTATATGTTTTACTAAGTATATATTTATCTAAAAACAGTATACAGTATGTTTTAAATTTTGTAAATGATATCATTCTCTGTATGATTATGCATCTTACATTTTCACTTATCATTGGGTTTTCTAGATGTATACCTGTTGATACATATGCCTCTACTTCATTTAGTATCTTTCTTTATTGCCTTGTATAGAACAGCCAGGATAGAGTATTTCTTTTATCCACTAATCATCATCTCCATTTTCTAACCTTTCCTGGAATGTGACTTAGAATATGTGCCTTCTACAATTTACTAGAATGCTAAAATATTCCCTAAGGTTATTGCACCAAATTATATTCACACAAGCAGTGCATGAAAGTTCCCACTGCTCCACATACTCAGCAACACTTGATATTTTCCAGACTTTCAATTTCTGCCAACCCAATAGATGTAAAATAATATCTTATCATTGCTTAATATAAATTTCATGGTTCTAAGCATCTCTTGATCTGTTTACTTGCTATATTAGTTTGCCTCTTCTGTGAAGTCCCTGTTCATATCCTTTACCTATTTTATTGGTTCATATATCCTTTTCTTCTCAATCTGTAGAAATCCTTCATTTGTTGTACATTAATTCTTTATCACTTATATGCATCCCAAATATCTGGGATAGTTTTACTTTATATTTTCCTATTTTTATATAACTTTTTTATATACAGAGATTTTTATTATTTTGAAATAATTAAATATCTCAGTGTTTTTCTTCATGATGTGTGGGTTTTTTTGGTTTTAAGAAATGCTCTTCTAAGAGCCAGATGCAGGGCCAGGGAGGCCGAGGCATGAGGATCACTTGAGGCCAGGAGTTTGAGGCCAGGAGTTTGAGACCAGGCTGTGCAACATAGCAAACCCTCTCTCTCTCAAAAAAAATAAAAAATTAATTAGCTGGGCACAGTGGCACTTTCCCACAGTCCCAGCTACTTGAGAGGCTGAGGCAGGAGGATCGCTTGAGTTCAGGAGTTTGAGATTATAGTGAGGCATACTCAAACGTCACTGTACTCTAGCCTGGGTGACAGAGCAAGACCCTATCTCAAAAAAAAAGAAAGAAAGCAAGAAAGAAAAGAAAGAAATGTTCTTCTGCCCTCATATTCTGATATTATATTTTCTCTTATATTTACTCTGAACACTTTAAACTTTTGGTTTTCACACCAAGATATTTTATTTATCTAGGATTGTATGTGGATTTTTTTCCATGTGTCTAAACTACTGTCCTAGTATCATTTGTTGAGTAGTTTCCCAACACACCCATGTATCTGTTCCAGTTTTCATTTATGAAGAATTCTTTATCAGGAGTCTCCATTCTAGTCTATTTGTCTACCTCTATTTCTGTAACACTTAACCTTGATTACTATAACCTAAAGTCACTAATGCTTCCTTATTCTTCATCTTCAGAAAGTTGTTTCGGTTATTCTTTGTCCTTTTTCCTCCATAAAAATTTTAGAATTTGCTTGTAATCTCCCTACAAACCCCTATTGGAATTGTCAATGAAACATAAATTTTATGTTCTTTATCAGACATTTTCCGATCTCATCCTCCCAACAAGCCCAAAAGGTAATTGGGTTACTATTCTATTACTATTTTATGAGAGAGAGAGACAGAGAGAGAGAGAGAAAGGAATAGAAGATAGATAGATATAGATGTGAAATGTTTAGTAATGTGCCTAATTTCATAGGGCAGGGCTCATATAAGAACTTAGATTTCCAAATGGTGCTGACTTTTGTGTGTTTGGCTGGTCTGTTTATTTTTAAGATTGTGACTATCCCTTTTTTCTATCAACAGCCTTTCACACTTTTTGCTACAGTAATCTACACACAAGACTTGCTCAATGCTTTCATGATTTTAACCACAAAGAAGAAGAGAAAAACAAGAAGGGCATGGTGAGTAGTGAAAAAAAGGAAAATCTCCATTGTTTTCTTTACCTGAACATGCGGTCTTTTTCAGAGTCATAGTTTCTCTGACCTGCAATGTGCCAGTCTTTTATTTATATAAAATGAATCTCTATTACATAGATCAGAGCAATGAAGGAACTGGCTTCTTTGCTCTTGCCCTGTGTTTTTGGTTAACTTGTGTGGGGTTCTGTGGTAACAACATAAAATTCTCTAAATTGACTCTGCTACTGTTTTTGGAAGACATGCTTAGAAATATTTGAAGAATTTCCTTTTTAGAAAGACTTCAATAGAATGAATTTTTATAAATGAATATCCAATTATGAACAGTAGAAAATGACCAAGAAAGGAGAGATTCTAAAAACACATGCTATTTTAAGTATCTTGGTTAGTAGAAATATTTTCTAACTACAATCTGAAGTTTTCAATGTGTATTTTACAAAGATTTCTTAGAAACTATGCTTAGATTTTACTTTGCTTTAATGTTATTTTTTTCTATCTTTATCTAAAAATCCATCCCGAACCAAAAAATATTTTTTAAAAATCTAAAATAAATACGTATTAAATTATAATGTCATTAACCAGTCAACTGTAAAATGTAAAAAAATTAATTAATTAAAAATTCCACTGACTTAACCCACTCAAAAACTTTAATAGTATATAATATAAAGTCTTATAGTATCAAAAGGTGTTCATTAATTTGATTTTCTAAAATTATATTTTGTTTACTTTCATCTGTGAATCAGTACTGCTCTTTAAAATTGTATGATCTTTTGTTGAAACAGAAAACAAATCTGCAAAGATATTATTGTTATTACTGATAGATAAATAGTTTGTAATTTTAAAGGTAGGTAGGAATTATTATGGTGTAAATGCATGTCAACCAGAAAGACAAATGACTGAAGTATTACCTGTTCTCCCCACCACCTCCCCCAAACAAAACCCTAGCTTCACTGTGTGGGAACACTTCCAAGAGGCAATATTCATTCTACTAAACATCTCCCACAGTATGTAGCTATTGGTACCTCAGGACAGACTGAAAAAAGAGAAAGGGAAACAGGAAAAGGGGCAGACAGCTGGATTAGACTGTGCTGTGTATATTAGTGATGGGTAGACTTCAAAAGACTTAGAGGTTCATTTTGGACAGGTGCCCAGAGATTCTCGGGCTTACCCCAAAACCTTCCATAACTTCTGATTTTAAAATTGAGCTAGAATTATTTTGAGACCAAACTTTTGGTCTTCAGTCATATTCCATACCCATGGTCCTTACAATAAATGTAAGCTAAGAGATTTAAAACTTTCTGAATCCTGAAAAATGAGATATCTACTTATATATATATATATATTTTATTATACTTTAAGATATCTATTTTAAATACTTACCTAACAAAATAGTATGTATTAAAGTTTTGAAAAAAAAGTCAACATTTTTTCCAGAGAGGTAGAAATGTCTTAAAAACATTTACCTCTTGAGTCCAGTTTTAAACAATGTTAACAATAACGCTTTTGAGCATGTTTTGGGAGACAGGTGAAACCTTCATTTGAGTTCCAACTCATCTATGAAGATTGGTAACTTTACGTCTCTGATTAAAGTGTATCCTCATCCACAAACTCCCAGTAAGTGGTGGCCTGAGAGGCAGCCTCTCAGGGTAATACGCCATTGATATAGGTCTTGTATATGAATGAGAGCCTGTCTGGAAGAGTTGACAAGGAATTTGTCCATCACTCCTTTGCAGGACCTCCTTTTAGCTGAGCACAGTGAGGGTTATCCTTTAAATAATATGATCATTCTTTAGTCTGATGATCATGTGTCTAATTAAATGTGCCTCTTAAATGGCTCATGTAAGATTTATTATTACTAACAAAGCCTACTATGGGAAAAGCTACTTTTACTAGATGTTGAAAATTATTTTTTGATACAAAGAATAAATTTCTGATATTAGCTTTGAACCAAAATAAACTATTTCTGTAATTGTTAGTATGATTCTGAGGAAGGCATGGTTTTCAACTTCTCTAGAAAAGAAGACATAGGATGTGGACTGAATAAGCAGTAATGCAGTAGACACAAACTAGTTTTTAGGGCATTCACCACTAGAATCTCCTTGAATAGAACTTATACAGTGATCTCAGGAAAGGACTGTTTTCATTACTTGATTTATGAATATGTCCCTTCCTATATTCCACACTCAGCAACAGGTGCTCCAATGCCCAATCTTCATGGTATTGTATTAGGCTCTCCATTATGTATGAATAACAATGACTCTCCAAGAGAATTAGATGTATTAGCAAGGAAATCTGCATCTGGGACAAATAAATTTACAATTTATTATATGCATAATTTTACATCCAAAGGCTTTTAAGCAATAACGGCTAGAGAACAACTAGTTATATTTATAGTTCGAAGTGCCCCAATCTCTGAAAAGCCATTACCATAACCATATTTTGATGTCAATCCACATTTTACTTGAAAATGTACAGTTCCTGCCAAAATAGCAGTAGCTTATTTAGATATGCATGCTCTACTACAATAAAAGTGTAAAAATTAGTAACAGTTGTTCCATGTCAATCGCATGCTGAAAGCGGATACTCAACAGATATGAAATCTGGAATAAGACCTACATCTCTTTATAGTTCTTTTCTAGGATTTTTCTAAAGCAGACCTCATTTGATATTTCAAACCATTTCTAACCAAGACAGCACTTGTAATTTGAACTATTTTGTATCGTTTTGCCCATTCTTTTTCAAGCTTCTCCAATCACTCTTCTCTCACTTGATTATTAAATATTCTTAATATTGCAATAAATACTTTAAAAAGAAGACCAAAATTAATAATATCTACCAATTCTACTATTTGTGATATATGCCAAATGAGAAACAGGAATAACAAGCAGAAATTAATTTCATTGTTAATTTAACATATAATTTTTTTCTTCCCCCAAACATTTCCCCAAATCCATTCATATATATAATAGTAATCAAATAAACAAATCTGAGCACCAAGATCTATCTTCTACTCTAGCTTTGGAGCCTATGACTGAGAATTAATGTAAAACAAACACTATAAATTGTTCTTCAAACTATTAAGAAAATACTGTACATTCAAGATATTCATTCATTTGTTGGTTAATCATTTCTAGAACACCTACTGTGTTCAGTGTTTACCTCAGGAGTCTATTATGAAAAAATGTAAATTCAGCTATTCATACATATTCACATAATAAAGAAAAGCAAAATTGTCATATTTTTAAGTATTATAGTATACCATTCTTACATTATGGAGTAAGCAGTGTTTGAGGTAATATGTCTGTAATCCCCACACCTTTAAAACATATTTTAGAGCAGCATTAACACACGCCCACTCAAATACATTAATGTTTCCATCTCCACTGACTCATTTGGCCCAAACGAGCTCATGTGCTTTCTCAAGTAGATAAATGAAAAGGGGATTTGAAGAGGCATTTGATAAATTACAAAGAAATAAACAATTAGAACCTCATACTTTTACCCAAAAGAAAATTAAAACAAGGAATGTCATAGTATCTATTTGCTTTTATTTGAAGGACGCATAATATACATCATAATATACGTACGCTGTACTTAATAGTGTTTATCTCTGAAAATTTTTTCTAAAGACCACCATAACTGAAATAATAAGTAGAAAATCATCAGAATCTACACCCCTTCCATCAGTATTTAACTTATTGAACAACTTTCAATAATCACATACACAATATACTTATTTTAAAACATAACCATATAAACTGCTTTGGAAATTGTATATTGACAAGTTCATAATTTCTTACTTCTATATATTTAAATTAAGACTTCAATAAATACACCAGTAAATGCATTTATTATTAAATAGAAATTTCTTTAAAAATTCAAATCTTAACATATTAAAAAATATAATAAAAGACTTTTTTGTTCTTTAGTATGCAAGAGTTAGATTGCTTGACCTCTCTTTTAATGACTTAATTAGCTGTACTAAAGCCCAGCTGGGCCTCTGCTGACAACATAGCTAGATATTTCAATCAAGCAGCGTTATGGAGAATAAGTAATAAATGCTACCTTGTCGCCATACAGTCCCAAACCATAGTGCATGCTGGTAATGCTAAATTTGATCAGTATGCCTCGTATTTCAATTAGTCGTGGTCTGAATCCCTAAAACTGTGTAATGTGTATGAATTCCTGATATCAGATACAGAACCACAGTCTCCCACAGTTAGAAGCCATTGAGTTTGCTTTTATTAGCAGCCAATTAATGGCAAAAATCTGCATCGCTTTTAAAATTTATAACCTCCATTCCAGCTGCATCCACGGCTCCTGCTATACTGTATACAATCAGATCCATATCACTGTCGCAAGTCAGACAGCTGCAAACTGTATTCTGTCCGCAGAAGTAAAAAATCCTTTCATACAGAAGCTTTTTTTAACCTCTTAGAAGTTCTTTTCAAAGCCCAGCAGCACTAGTCACTTTGCGACAATGAGCGATTTAATACAGAAAGAAAGAAATCTACACCAAGGTAACCTCTTGGGATGTGCTAGGTTTTCAAACGGAGTGAAACCCTACCACTCCGGCACTGCACAAGGGCAAGCAAAGCCACTTCTCCTGACCAAGGCTAAGAAAATATAAACATATAAAACCTGACCCTCATCCAAAGTTAACCCATTGAAGTCTCCGTAGTCATTAAAACAAAGTGATATAACACAAGTTCAATATTAAGTAACTTACATAAAATTTTGGTATTCAAATTTGTATGCCTGAACCTTAGATGTTTCCCTCATATTACATCTGTGGAGATCACATTCCCCATCAAGAAGCAGTTTATTACGTACCTCAAGATTTCTAGACATTATTTTTAGGAGCCAGGCTCTTTCTGACATATGATAAGACAGGAAATTTAGATGTGATCAGATTTAGTAACAGAGCATAATTGCTTTGCGTATAGCTAATGCTGTCCTTTCAAGATTATTAAGAGAATAGTTCAGCTTTATGGTATTATATATTTAAGTTGCCTTGTACATAGTATTCTGTGAGGCCTGGAATATTTGATATCTGATCATTATAATGTTATTTGGGAGAAATAAAGTAGAAAGTTTCTTCCTTTGGTCTTTTACATACAAAATGGCATTAAATTTTAAAATACATAATAGAGATGTTTATATTAATACATATGTATACGTTTCTATGTTTGTTTAACATAGGATTTAAAAGATAGATAAAAGAATTTACCTGGAAAAAGAGGAGCATGAAAAATACTCACCAACTCTAATACATAGTAACAAAAATGTTGTACTAGGATAATACAAACTGCTGCCATGGCTATTTAAAGACAATAAAATCCTATTTTACAAATTTCAGCTGCTAATAACCAGCATTCTTTCTAACTGCTTAAATACTGCAGTAAGACTTATAATGCCACTGTGAAATCATAAGCTAGTATTTCAAAGGTGTTGTATCTGTTACAAATTTAATCTTCACTGCTTTGTCACAACTGATTTCATCCCAGCAGCTTGGAGATGCAGCATAACAACATTCTTGTTGTCCTAGACAACCTGAACCAAACTGTTAAATACCTGCCTGATGCCCATGAATGACTATAATATCGCCTATGGAATCTCCCAACAACCACCCTCAAAATGTGCAATTAGTCTGTTCCAGTTAATAGGAGGAAAAATGTATGCTTTACGACGTTCACAAATTGTAGGCATTTTAATGGCAGAGACAGAAATTCTGTGCTATATTTCATAAATGGCACAGTATTGTGTTCATTGTATTAAAAATATTCTGCTTTTAATACTTTATATTAGGACATTTCACAACTGTGTAAAGTAAGTTAACATAGGTTTGAATCTAAAGTAATTTTCTTCCCACATGAGGAAATATACTATTTCATTAACTATAATGGATATTAGAAGTCCGTTTGGTTTTTACATACCAAACATTTTTGTCTTTGAAATATGTTTCTGAAAAAACAGCTGTAAAGCAAATGTTTTTGCTTCCTCCCAGGTATACAGTGACACACCGTTTGCGGTAGAAGCGAGGTGAAATGATCTGAACAACTGAAAGAATTTGTGTTCATGAAGTTGCTCAGACAAGGAGCTGATGGAGCAGGGCATTGAAATCTCCTTGCATATTGGAGTTTAATTATAAAGCATTAGGTTAAATTTAACTCCTCAGAATCATTATGAAAATTTGTAACTCTCTGGGACAATTTTAGATCCATCAACTGGCACATAAATTTAGCACTCATACACTATATGTAGAAGTGTGTAAATATGCAAGCAGCCACCCCCACCCCATAACAATGCTGTGTTATTATTCCACAAGACAACACTTTTGAATCTGAAATCTTTTAAAATTACTAATCTGTTGCTCTTCTCATGGAACATCTTAACTACTTCATTTGAATGTACTATTTAAATAATACTAGGAAGTAGTTCTCAATGAATATTTAATTACTGAGTACTATGGTTTAAATCTTCCAACCAAGAAAAATAATGCATAGAAAATTATATTTATTATATATCTCAAAAACTGTTGAAAATTCTGAAGTTCTAGCAAAGATCACTATTCTTTATGAAATACACATCATCATTACAATGTCTGTGTTAGACATAGTATGAATATGATCTGTATGTCTTCAGTGAATTCAATAACTTAGAAGATGTCACAATGTAACTTCCAAAAAAATGAGAACACAATTTTGTTTATACGAAGACCTGGCATAAAATAAAATATGAATGAATCATTTTTAACACAAGATACAAAAACTCAGTTTGCAGGCAAATTAAGCAAAAACAAAATGTGCTTATTGTAAATATCCTATCCTTATTAGGAAACAATTACATTGTTTTCAGTAGATTTTTAATTCCTCTTGATGTGCCACTTAAAATGATTTGATTCCAAACTACTAGTGATGCAAGTTTAAACACATCCTTTAACTAGCATGGTAGTGACATATATTAAGTTGCCCATATGCAATTCACACTTGTGACTTTTCTCTGCCATTCATGAATTATGCAATTATCCCTAACTCATGGAAATGAAAGTGCATTAACTGCCCACTGTCATGTATTGTCTCTTTCTATGTCCTTGCGCACATATTTCCACGGCTCATTATTCATGGATGCATCTATGCAAGTGTAAATGTACACACATAATATGGAAATAGTCACACATGGATAAATAGCAACCAGACACTTGTTTGTAAAGATCTATGTACTTCATTCCAAACAACAAAATTTAATGAGGAACACCTCTATCCTTGTTATGGATGCCGCAAGGTAAACAAAACGGATGCCATTGTTATAAAGTAATAGAGGGATTTTCTCACACAGGAAGGAATGAAGTTGTTGGTGTACAAACCTGAAACAGCACCCTTTCATCTCTGACAACTGTTTTTCTAGCTTTTTCCCCCATTAAGAAATATGCTTTTCAGCACTGATTGAAATCTCACTGGAACACTATTCAAAAAATACTGACTGTACCTTGTGTTCCTAATCCTTATCTTTTCTCCATGAATGTTAAGATAGACTTGTAATGATGGCATTTCATTCCTAGAGAAAACAATTGTTTAAAATAAAGAGTTTTGGGGAAATTAAAATATTGCGTTTTCTCCATTGAATGTTATGGTCATGTAGGTGATTCCAAATTTTGAATTGAGCATCGAAACAATTTGCTCCTGACGTGATGTATTCCTCAGGAAAGTTCTCTGATTTTAGTCTAATAAGCACTAGTGAGCACACACGTGCAATGATCTGTGATAAGGGCAATCATGAGGATTCCTTCTGATTTACATTATTTCTAACATAAACAGATTGCCTCGATTGAGGTAATTATTTCTAACTAAATAGAATGAATTTTATCAGATATTCAGGTTGTAATTTGCATATAATAAAGTTTTTTAAAATGTTGCCTCAGGCAATAAAAGCAATATTTATTGACTTAAACAAAAGTAAAATATTTTTTCCACAGCACAGATTTTTTATTGCAGATAGTAAAAATTTCATGTTCAGAATTTCTTAAAAATGTTATTTCAGCAAGATAGCCCATTCAGTGTAAACCATATCTACATAAAATTAATTGGAACATGCTTTTTTTGAAAAACAATTATTTCATAATCATCTAAGTACTTTATTAAATATTATTTAAAATTAAAACTGAAATCATATAGATTCATAAAGAGATTTCAGTGGTATCTTTATTATATATTAAGAAAATGAAATACTTGATGTCAATATTTTGCTGAAAAATGCAGCTTTTCTTCATGATTATACATGCTTCTCTTTTTAATTATTTGATTCTTTTCCTAAGCAAATTTAAAATCAACCATCTTTGTTATACCTAGATAGTTAGACAAACCTTAAATCATTCTCACTAAATATTGTTAAATATTTTGTTAGTTAAGTTATATTTCAAATTCTGCTGCATTTCTCAAGTTACAAATAAATTTCATGATTCTCACATTTTATAGATATTGATAATATGTAAGAAATCTACTCATTTTAATTAGACACAGTGTGACTGAAAAGCTAAAAAGAAAAATGCTGGTAAGTAAAAGATCAATTTCAAAATCGGAAAGACAATAAAATAAACAGGTGGAAATATTCCCCATTTTAAGTTGCAGTATGTAGGAAATGCTTTTCTTTTTAGGAGAAACTTTTTAACAGGTCCTATTACTGCTAAAGTACAACAGAAATCAAATGTGTTAATCTCTAACACACTATATTTTTTATGTATGTAAGTTGTGATTCACAGAAATACTTTTGCCAAGGCAATAAAAATACCCAAGAATAATTTAGGATAAACACAAGTTTTCATTACTTTTCAGTAATTTCACTGACATCATAGATAATGTGTGACCAGTAGAAGGCACTGTTACAATAAATATATACATACAGCTGCTCATTTACAAACTGGTTGGACATTCTGATTAGAGTTTTACCAACTTTTTACAGCACAAATATTCTTTTCATGTAGACATTAAGTTATAAATTTGTCCTGTAAATGTGAAGAAAAAACTCATTGTGTAACTCTTTCTTGTGTAATTTTCAGTTGGATTTCAGCCCATTTACAATTTTATTACCCTCATTTTTAATTTAATTCATAAAAAAATTATGTGGTCACACTTACCACCCTTAGCACTGCATTTAAGGAATGTTGCTCTCTTGAGAAAGAACTCAGACTGTTGCAGGATTAGACATAGATTCATGTAGACCTTGCTTCAAAACAAGCTTCTGATTTCATTCTTTTTAACCTTTAGAGGTTTGATCATAATTTGCTAGAGCATGCAGGCATGGTCTTTTAATGGAACTGCTTGGATGTATAAAAACACCTCTAATTAAATCTCTGTGAAACATACCACTAACAATGTTGTTTAGTTTGTGTTCGTATACAAAAGCTCTTGAATACCTCTCCAAGTTTACAAAATCCACGTTAAAGGAGCCAGCATTGCAAAAAAATGTTACGGCATATGTTTGGATTTTTGTATTTCAGAGTCCTGACTACTTTATCTGAATTACAGATTTAGAGCTTTGTTATGTGTGATAGTTATGATAATATGATCACTAAAGGCACAGAGACAGGGAGACTCAAATCCCTTTGAAAATCCCTTTCTCTATTTCCTACAGCTGCTGCAGGAGTTTAATATCTGATAGAATGATGAAAAAGAACAGGCCGAACTCCAGTTTTAATAAAAATTTTAACAGGTCTACATATAGTTATGAAAAATGTTATTTGCAATGCCGATTTTTAATAAAATTTTCTTAAACCAAAGAAAAAATCCTCAAGGGGAACCTGATATGAATGTGTTTTTCATATGTACTATTTAAGGCTCTTTAAAGGTTATGAAAGTGATTGATAAAATAAGTTCTATTCTATACAACACAAACCTAAACGTACTTGCACTTTTGCATTTTAATCAAATAAATAAGCAAAGCTTTCATTTTGTGTGTTGGATCAGAAACAAATATTATCATATTGTGTAGTCAATTTTTATTCTTAGCAAGAAAAATTCATATTATTAAATGATGGCATTTTTAAACAAGTCAAAGCACTGCTAACACACACATTAAAGTAGTCTATCATCTATGAATGTATGATACTAAGAAATAATACATTCTCATGAAATTGGAATTGTGCTTCTTGTGTTTTTTGAATTTAAGAAATCATATGAAGTTTGAAGACTTTTTCTTCACAAGAGAAAATAAACACATTAGGTATGACAAAATGAAATTTAATTTAACCCAAGAGCTTCATAACTTATAAAGAATCTCTCTATAAAGTAAAAACGTCCTAAATGAAGGGTCTCATATGCAGTGGCCTGTGTGGGTGCCCTGTACTGTAATTACCCATTCATCATGATAACACAGCCTGGAAAACAGTCATGAGATAACAAGGCCGGGTCCCCAAAGTATCTATGTTCACAAAAAATAGAAACAAAGTGTTTCTAGGAAATCAGAAAGACATTTTCATTTACCGATCTAATCTACAGCAACTACAAAATAGGAGCTCCTTGTAACTTCCAATATGCTAAACACAATCAAGGAGTTCAGTTTTAAGCCTTAAAATGTGTGAGTTGTTATTATTTCCATTAAAACCATTGCATTCTAGTAAAACACTGATTTTCTAGCAACACTGACCTTGTCATTGTTTCTGAAACATTTTGAATATCATAGAAAGACTTTTTAACACAATATGCCATGTGTAATATATTAACATTTTCTTTAAAAACTTGATAGACTTTTTGAATTTAAAACTAGCTATACTAACAGAAGACAGCCACTATATTCTTTACAGAGGAGCATGCAAACTGTAACCATAAAGCACAGTCTTTATTTTATCCCTAAATAAATATTCACTTTCGAAAACATTAAATTTATTATGCACTGAAATAAGGAAAGGAAAGCATTACCAATCTTATTATAATACTAAGAATTCCAAGGCTAGAATAATAAGCAATATTCTAAACCTTTGGCCCTCTTGTACATTTTACAACAGGAAATTGACAGTTGTGGATTCGTGTCTTATTCATAATCCTACCATTTAACCATTTTTAAAAAACAACTTTTACAGTTCTAGAACCAAAATTATTGATGTATTTTGTTTACTTGATATTTTTCTGTATTTTTAGTTAAAAGACATATTTTTGAATGGGGCAAAATGGGGGGCAGGTGATCTTAATCAGGGGATTTGAGAAAAACTGGTGGACTCAAGGTAACAAGAATGAAAGAAAGAATAATTCATTGCTGGGACCATTTTCCCCCTTGATTTCTGTATTGCGATTACAGCAGATTACCTCCAACCAAATATGATTTATCAGATACTTGTAGACACCCTTGATAAATTACACAACTAGGAGTGCAAGTTTCTGATATCATATCTGAAATGTAAACACTTGCTTATAAAACCTATGATGCACAAAAAAAGATGAGACAAAACCAAACATCACTAAAATAATGCTTCAGCTTTAAGTATATCTTAAATTTCCTACATAAAGTATTTTCATGCTATTTTAAGAAAGACAATTGGATGTTTAATAAGAGCATTTGCTTTCAAATTGTAAACCAAACTACAATATGCTAGTTTAAACATGCTTTGACCAATTTCACTTTTTAAGATATTACAAGGCTCTAAAAAATAAAAACTGGAGATTTTAGTTTTTCCAGGAAATTTCCACAAACTATACAAATGTCCATATAAAATACGAAGTCATCTCATTTTAAGATATATATTCAAGCTTTTAATGGAAGCTCTCGTAAAAAAACTTAAATCTTACAGCCCCATGTGGCCATGTCAAACGACATGGATTTTCTGTGCATCAAAATAGACATTTTTTGTGTCTATTTTAGGCATTTCTGTGCTCTAAAATAGATATTTTTATTCAAATAAAATGAGACATTGTTAGATATTAGTTAACATAACTTATTTTACTCTCATAGAGCAAGAAACTATATTCTATAAGCAAGTTTCTTCCCCCCAAAATCAAATACACATAAATAAAATTAACTTTGATCAGAAGCCATATAAAATTACATGCTTTTATTTACTAATAAGTAATTTAATATTTTAAGAAATTCTGAATTTTTTCCTCCAAGTTTTACTACAGAGTGCTGCCAGGTTATTTGAGATTTCAGATATACACAGCCCCTGAACAAAACTGTCTATATATAGGTGAAGAAATAAGAGGTGGTCTCTTTTCTTCACAGATACTGTACATAGTAATTTTAATCCATGTTTTCATCTACATATTTCAAAGGGTTTAAGAATGCAGCATTTTGGGGGGGAAAATTATAACAACCTGAAAAGTTTAGGTTTCTATTTTTATTATTGAGGAAGTAGATGATATATTAAATATTATCTAAAATTATCTCTCTGCTTGACTTTCATGTTTCCATAGAAACCACTTGAGGTATTTCAAAGCCACAGTAACTCTAAACACTGGTCTTTATAAAAGCTTTTGTAAGCCTGACTGATGATTATTTTCCCCTCTAAAATTTAATGGTGGGATAAATCACACTGAATACATATATTTAGGTTTCCGATATACAATATTTTTTAAAATAAGTGCATTTTTATAAATACAGAGACATGGAGAATAAGAAATTCTCAAATAATACTGACTTTATTTTACTAAGAAACAGAGTATTACCCATTTTTCTGTATCTTCAAAACAAATTATCATGAGTTATAAGAGTTGCTATAGATTACTGCATATTAAGCAGATTCTAGCTTTGAATTTCTTTATTGGCCTTGATATTTATGGTCCTAACTGAGGATTCCATTTAGCCATTAATTACATATTTCTTGCTTAAGACCAGGAGTACCTGAGAGATCAATTTTTAAAAATTTCATATTCTAAAATAATATCACCAGACAGCCTCTTTTTAAGAAAGTTAGATAACTTGAAAAACAGATAAATTAGAATGTGATTATTCATATCACAAAAGAATTCACAGATGGTTTCATGGAAATAGGGAGTTCCCTATTTAAGTGTTTGTTGACAGATCATTAACTACTTGACAAAGAAGCTATGGGGGCAGAAAAACTTAGAGCTCAAGTGCTGGGAGACACTGCCAATGGGAGATCAATCAGATATGAAGAAAATAAAGCATCCTTGGAACGACCACATGAATCAGAAAATATGACTTACTTTATATTCATGTGTGTATGTGTCTCTGTGTGTGTAAAGAAAGAGCATATATACTGTATATCTACATGTGTATATATAAAATGTGTACATACATATATACACACAGACACACACACCCCTACACACACCTAAAGAGTCAACTTTAACCTAGAATAAGACACTTAACAAGCTAGCTGGATTTCCTTTATTTTAGAAACTTAAAAATGGTTCATAGATGTTTAAGTGTATATTGTTTTAAAGCACGTCCACTGATAGAATATATGAAATGTCTACTTTCAAGCTTTGTAGTGGATCAATTATCACAAACTTAATTTTCTTGTATGAAGTAATTACATTCTTCTTACTATTACAAACTTACTAAATTCTTACTGTGTACAAGGCATTTTGCTAGACAATTCATTATACAGGCAAAATAGAATTTTAGGTTTTTTTCCAATGATGTTGTAACTGATATGTTTAGAGATTTGCTCTTAGAAAATGTTAAATTATAATGGATTATTTACAAAAATAACATCTTTGGGTTTTTTGTTGTTGTTGTTGTTGTTGTTCTTGTTTTTAAGATCATAGATCTGTGTTCCAAACCACTAAAGAGACATCCTTATCAATCAGGGTGGTTAGTGTAAATAAAAAAAAATAAAAAAAAATAAAGCTTGTAGAAAGCTTTGTCTTCAGTAAGTATTCCATCTTTTTTACATTTTTAAAGAAAAGAAAACAACACATGAGGTAAAGGGAATAAAGATGAAAACATACAAATTCATAATAAATATCCTCTTGGTTTATTGTCAAGACAAGCATTGCCTTTGATGCATTAACTGTTAACGACAATCTCTTGAGGATTGCTAAATGAAAATTAACATTTTACTGAAAAATGAATAGCAAATAAGTTTCCAACTTTAGATTCTCTAACATTTCTTTAATACAACAAAAACATATCGTAAGACGTGAGAATTTTTGCAGTGATTGATACCCATTCACATTATTTGGCTTTCTCAACTACCCTCAGTCTCCAACTCAATGCAATTCCAGAAGCTTGTATTGATGGCTTCCTGCCTGCCTAATAGTGGAACTAGGCAGTCGGGCAATAAAATGTGTACACAAACCGTGCTTTCCAAGAGTTTACCCACATTATCTCAGATTTTACCCTATAAAATGATTATTCATTCTTTAAAAAGTATCCTGATAAGAACCTTAAGAACCTTGTTAGATTTCTGAAATCAGTCCAAAAACTTTTAGTGCTTTATTTTTATAACAAACTTTGAACACAGCCCCAAGTTTTATATAGGGCCCCTAAACCATTCTAGATAAACTAGAATAAAGTGAACTTTTAATGCACCATTAATTTTAAAGTATTTTAAATCAATTTTCCACCCGCATTTTTGAAATAAATTTAAATTGCCAAAGCATTTTATTTAGAAGACAAAATCGTACAGGGCATAGAAGAGAGTTACCCCTTCTTTCAAGTGAGTTACGAAACTTAAAAAATTGCTTTGAAGTCTAAATTGTGACACTTCATTTGGATTTGGGGAGGAGGAGTTAAAGAATAAAGCAAAGTTGTGCAGAAAGGGGGAAAATGTAAAAGGGAGAAAAGAAAACAAGTTTCTTATTACAACTAAATCAAGGAGAGATGGATTTGGCAGTAACCACTGAGTTAAAGTATAATACACTAGAAAGACAATATAAGACAAACACATGTATTAAAGGTAGCACACTTCAAAGCCTGAAAACAATTCGTAACATTCTAAATCTTTCTTACCACTCTTTTGGAGTAGTTTCCTTTATTTCAATCCCACCCTATCTCAACATTCCATCACAATCCCAGCATTCCATACAAGTGTGTGTCACTAAATTCAAAAATAAGCACTACATATTTAAGAAATCACAAACTCTACAAATCATGTATAATATATGGCATCTTAAATGAAATTTTATTTTAGTTTCACAATAATAAAACAATTACATTTTAGGTACATAAATCAACTGTAGCCTTTAAATATATTTGTTTCTTAACCTAATACCTAGGCATACACATGTAGAGTATTGATACATCTTGATTATTTGGGAAGTGCTTGAATTTAGATGACAAATTTCATTTTAAAAAATGTTGACTGATGCATTAATAAGGATTTGCTTTTTTTGAAAGATGAGTAATTTGTCTGGTTATATTGCATGAGAAACACAGTTTAGTGCTCATTTTAAAGATGAGCAACTTATTAAGGGGCACAGACTATTTTGGTTTGTCTTGATTTCACTCTGTTTTAGTATAAATTTGCAAATGGCTGCTTTGTACAGTATATTATTCAAGAATGCTCACAATTAATATTAAAGATCCTGGGGTCCCCTGAGATCTTCATTTCTGGGAATCCTGAATTTCCTGAGGTGGGTTCATGTACATGAAAAAAATTCCCAGGACCTGCAAGTTTATAACTACATGCCCTTCTGCCAGAGACCGCAAAGCCTGGGTACTCTGGGTGTCAGCTCAAAACTACCAAAGTAATTTGATAGAGAGATTATTTATTCTTTGGCATTTTGACAAAGAAATCTTTTTAAATGAGCAGCTCTAAAGACATAAAGAATTTTATTTAATTTGATAACATCATGATTTTTCTACAAAATACTAGTCTCACATAATAACTGGTTCCCTTGTTAAATAAAAATATTTAAAAAGATATATTTACTGTTTACAAAACAAAATAATTTCCTGTAGTTTTAAATTATGTAATATATATGTCTGAAATTGAACTCATTGAAAGGTATAGAAACATTTTCAAGTAAATTTTAATACCTTAAAAAATAAACACGGCATTTTTAAAGTAAGAGTACTTATGTTTCAGAAAAACTATTTCCAACAGCCTTGAACTACCTCCTTCATTAAATTGTGCAAAATTAATCATGTCATTAAGTGTGCTTCTTTCTACATGTCTCTAGCTAAGAACCAACTTCAAAAAGTGGTAATGCAGCCTTTAATAAGAGAAGAAGGTATTTTAGTGGTCATTTTAGTACCAGTCGCTCTATGTCACATCAAAACTCTTGGATTTTGTTCCAAACCATTCTCTAACAGCAATATACGCTATGTTAAAGGTACATTAAAATTTGTGTGTATCTCTGGATTGGTGGCACAAGCAATAAGAAACTGATGCATCAGTGACAACTGAAATAAGCAATTATGATAGGTTTTTCTAGACAATACTTGACATTTTTATTCATAAAAATATGCCTTCTACTTGTCTATTTAGTACAAGCAATGCAAGGAAAATACATTTTACATAAGAAAAAATGGTGGTATTATTTATGTTTTAATCAATATATCAATCATCTGATGAATACTGATGTTTATTTTGAAGGAAACAAGAAGAGTATGACTATTTCAATTAAGAAACTTTTAGGGGGATGTTATTCCTAAATTAAATATAAAATTCCATCATACCAAAAATAATTACCATAAATATTTCTAATGCTTAGTAATAAATCACTAGTTTTTGACCCAGTGATGATGTATTTACTTTAAGAAGCAAAAGAAATATGTGGTAAACTAAGGGATTTGTAAAATATCATGATTTAATTCCTTCCTAAAAATATTACCTGTTTTGAAAACCAAACACCACATGTTCTCACTTGTAAGTGGGAGCTAAATGATGAGAACACATGGACACATAGAGGGGAATAACACACACTGTGACCTATCGGTGGGTAGAGGGTGGGAGGAGGGAGAGGATCAGGAAAAATCACTAATGGGTGCTAGGCTTAATACCTGCGTGATGAAATAATCTGTACAACGAACTTCCATGACACAAGTTTACCTGTGTAACAAAACTATACATGTACCCCTGAACTTAAAATAAGTTTTTTAAATTAACTTAATTTAAAAAGATAAAAATATATTACCAGTTTTTATTCCAAAATATTCAATATTTTAACTAAAATACTTCCATGGATATTTTGAATATTGAACTTTGGATCTTTCCTGGAAAAACATCTGCTATGCAATTTACATAACTATTCAGTATCTGGGAAAATTTGTTCTTAATTAACAGTCAAGACTCACTAATGTCAATTGGCTCAATATTTAAACAAATGTTGGCAGAATAATTTTAGATTTAAAAAATGGCTGGAATAGAAAGGTCTAGGTAATTTAACTGCTTCTAAATTACTGCAATTCTGCCTATAAACTTAAAATGTCTTACTTGGGAAGCGTTTTCAGAAAATGAGTTAGAGAAAAAATTGGTAAGTGAGCCAAGTGAGGATCAACTAGGAGAAACCACAATATTCAATGCAACCGAGCTTGGTTAGAATGCATCACATCTTTTTTTTTTTTTTTTTTCCCCCTGCATACAAGGATTTGGAAAGTGGTAACTACAACAAGCCCTGTAACACTATCTGTTAACAGGAGACAGAATCATTCCAATTGAAGCAGAATTAAAAGAGAGCTTTTAAAATGTAATTGACAGATAGATAGATGGATTAGATAGATGGATAGACAGATGATTGATCGATAGATAGCTGCATAGATAGATGGTAGGATAGCGATAAATGATAAATAGATATATGTTTAAAGTTCTCTAATATGTCAAGCCATTATGTTTTCCTCTTTCATTGCTTTTCTATTCTTTCTCTTCACACAGAACCATCTCCTCCTCCATCATGCCTTCTTTCCAAAAGTTTTGGTGGTAGGTGTAGAGAAGAAACTAGGCCAAGCAGAAATACAGGTCTCAAGCAATGGCCTACTATCTAACACTGGAAATGAAGGGAAGTGCTATCCGTATTTTTGTAAGGGATCTCGATGAGATCTAAGCCATGATTAAGGCTGAGTTTAATCTATCACAAATTGTTGGTTCACAGAATTTTTACTTTTTAGCTAGTTATTAGAGAATTCTCTCTAAACTCATTTGTTCCTTTACCGATCTCCACTCTAAGAGTAATATTACTGTGCTTGGGTTATAAATGTTTTATGAAAATAAACTTTTACAAAATATTCTGAAAATTAAAAGTTTCAGAAATGACTTTAACCCCAACTCTCATTTAATATAGGGAAAAACTTGAAATTGCTTATGTATTGATACAGTGATACTATGCACATTTGTCTAACCTTTAGTTCATTGACTTCTTTTGCAGACCTGCCAAGATTTTGAGAAAATAAATGCTATCATCACAGGATGGCCAGATGACGGACCTATACAAATTCACTTTATAGTATCAAATCCTTTTATCAAAATCATCACTATGATATGAAACTCAACATTGCCTTAGGGAAATAGCTTCAGGGACATGCTTACAATGAATATTCTTGAACATTTTATTCTAATGTTTAAGGAAGAACAGTAACAGAGAAGGCAAAACATCAGCAAGTCATAACATTTTGAGTTTTTCATCTTCAAATAAATGAACCAAGGAGGACTAAAAGACAAGTGGTAAATGACGATGCCAAGAGACTCTCCTAAGAAGTTTATGAGACACAAAATCTCTCAGCTTTACTTTGTTAAATACACAAACACTGGATTACTGTGAAGAAAAAAATGTGCTACAAGAAATTACAGTTAGCCTTACCAAATGGCGAAATATTTACACAAATCATATCCTCATTTTGTGTGTGTTTTTTGTAAGATGACGATTCTTTTGCCAATATTTTTTCTCAACATTTAAGATTAAGAAACACTTGGATTTACTAATGAATATTTGTCTACATAGAGACATGAAAAATGATTAAAATAGTAAAAAACTTACATTTTCTATCATGTAAAATTAAATTACTTGTACTTTAAAGATGAACACATCACCAAATATCTGTTGATTTTGAAAGAGTGACTCTATAATTTAGATATTAAGTATTAATTAAAACATTCTAGATTATATATTTTATATACATATGTTTAAATAATGGCACACTAAAATGAATATCAGGCATTCTTAAGGCAGAAGTCAACAAAAATTTTCAGAATATTTCTATTATGTATGTTATCTATCCCTCTATTTATATGAGACTATATTAGATATGCATGGCATGGAGGTATTTGGTGGGTGATGAGCTATCTCAATAGATATTCTTTGCCCTTGCTTCTCTACTCCTCCAAGGAAGCATTCTGGACTTACAAATGAGGATAAGTAGTGTTTCTTGGTATAGGGAAGACTTTGTATTAGAAATATGTTTTAGCAATAAGTTTCTGAAAATAGGTAATATATAGGATTAATAAAATGCTAAAGTAGAAAGGAAATTTATCATAGAGACTTATATAATGAATTCTAGAATCAAAATTTAGTGTGTTTATATATTTTAACCCTTTTAAGTTGCATAGCATCATAGCACTACATATTTGCAGGATTGGTTATTCCATTTATTTAGAGACACTATGAGTCAATGCCAACTTATCCCTTGAAATGAAACTATAGTAGCTTTCCTTTACCTGTAGTTTCTGTGATTTGTTACCTGTGGTCAGTCAGTTTGAAAATATTAAATGGAAAATTTCAGAAACAAATAATTCATAAGTTTACAATTACACATCATTCTGTTCCACTCTGTCCCCCTCAGGATGTGAATCCACCCTTTGTCTAGTGTATCCAAACTGTATATGCTACCTACCCATCAGTCACTTACTAACCAGCTCTATTATCAAATCTACTGTTGCAGTATCACAGTGCTTGTGACCAAATAACCCTTATTTTACTTAATAATGGCTTCAAAGTGCAAGAATACTGTGTCCAATTTACAAATTAAACTTCACCATAGGTATGTATATATAGGAAAAACATAGTACACATATGATTGTTTACTATATGTGATCTCAAATATCCACTAGGGGTTTTGGAATGTATCCCTTATGAATAAGGGGGACTACTATATATAAAAACCTCACCACCTTGGGTAGCCAAAAGGTTTTAGTCACAATTACCAATATGTACATTATAAATAGCAAACAATTTATTAAAAAAAACTTTCAAAAGCAATGTCCTCTATATTTTAGTAACAGTTGGGCTTAAGATTCATTCCAGAAATTTTTGAATTGAACGTCATATACAGCATTTTTTGTCATTGTAAAAGTATTTAATAAAATGTTTAAGCATGTATTACATATGCATAATTTTATGCACTGTTTCCTTCAGAAAAGGGATTCATGCTTTTTGTTGGTGTTATTACAAATTATTCTAATATAATCTTATTTTCTGATTCAAACCGTATATTATAGCAATGTTAAACTTACACTCCTCATGTTTGATAATAATCACCACTTATATACCACTTCTCATCTTCAAAGATCTTTATAAAAATTAATTAACGTCAGCCAATGACATTTCTTGGAAAGGAAATGATTTATTTAAATGGCATCTATATAAAAAATAGCCAATATATTTACATAACAAGTGCTATATATACCCTTTAAATCAAGCCCCAGAATCCTAGAAGTCATTCACTTTGAGTACACTACAAAGTAGAATTATTTATCTATTATAGCTTAAAGAGATATAGAGATCATCTACTTCAAACCTTCCCCCATATTTTCAAATGAAGAAAATGAGGGCCTAAAAGATAAATGACTGACCAAAGATGACACAATAAATTAGTGGCAACGCGAAACTGGTTTACTAATAATAAATTATTCCTAACATTTACTGAGCTCGAACAATGTGCTAGGAAATGTATCAAGTACTTGACCTGGATTACCATATATAATCCTTCACCCTATAATACTAGAATCATCTCAGTTATTATTTCCTAATATTTTTAATCAGTGAATTACTAAAGAATAAGGATAAAAACTGAAAAATTAAAGAAGTTATTTTCTTCAACAAGAACAGCAATCTAATAATGAGGAAACATTTAGCCATATTTATTTTAAATGTTACATTTGTGCCTATGTTTCTATACAATTACTTAACAAAAATCTATAATATTCAGTATAGCAGATAACATCCCAAGTGAAGGTATTTGTTATATATCTATAACCATGAAAATTATTTTTTAAATTATAATTTTCCATTTTCTTGCAATGAAGAATGTTTCTTTAAATAAGATCATAAAATCTATAGTAATGCCAAGTCTCTCCTAATTCTAACACTTAAAGATACTGATGAGGCAGTAGTCTTCAAATTGTTTTGAACTTTTTCCAGAGGCCTTTCAAACGTGAAGCAATATTTTTGTTTCTTGCTTATGACCATTTTGTTCTTGCAGGCAAAAAACAACAACAAAAAGTGGACTTTCTAATGATTTCAATTGTTTTCACTGAAAATAATTCTCTATTCCATAAACGTTTTCTTCTTTTAATCTGGACTACAGGTATTTCTTGTCATCAAAGTAGTCTTCACCAAAGGAAAACAATAGAAGTTTCCATTTTTACTGGTGCTAAAAATTCCTAAAGCCAAAGGATACTCTTATAGACAGATTTGCTGAGCTTTTCTTGCCTTTGAATGAACATGTAACAGGCAAAAACAGAAGTCAGAATGGAAAATGTTATGTTGGCAGAAAGTGATGTATAAATATCTTTATCCCTAAAAGAATGGGCTACACTACAAAATCTTGTCACTGTATTGCTTTAACCAAGAAAATATCTGCAGCTTATTTAAATGGCAGGAATAATAACACTGATCATTGATTTCAGAAATAAAAATTCTCCTGAAATAAGACAGTCTGTTAAAACAAAGTATAAAGAAATAATTACTTACTGTCTGGCAAATGACTGCCTTGACATCCTTCATATAGTCTCACTTCTAGAATCAAGATACTCAAAATTATCAAACATAAATATCTGAATTTATCTAACAAAACATGTTTATGGTAGACTAATATTTTTGCTCATTTTCAAACAGTTCTACTTTATCCATTAAATTCTTTCTCTGGTAGAAAATAGTCTTTCAGACTAAGCATTATGCATACATTTTAGGGTAAAACCTTATTTATACATAACTTTAGGGTGTGTGTGTGTGTTCAAAATCACAAATCAGTATGAAGAAATTAACTATTGCCTTCGAGAACTACATGATGTTTATATTGATATGAACCACATTATTATGGAGTATGTAAAAATAAAAACTACTTCCCTGTATATAAAGCCATTCTTTGAAGCCCAAGCAACAAAACCAACTAATTTAAAGCAACCATAGCAAAGAGCATTTTTAAGCAAACTCCTTTATGGCACATGGAACTCATCCAGACAGTTATAGTTTTCTTCCCACTTAGCTTTATTTTTTATTTCATAATTTCATACTCATTACATAGATCAACTTACATGCTTAGAAATAATATCTAACCAATTGTAAAGTTTTCTTTATTTATACATAAATATTTAAATAAATAAATAAACTACATAACACTAGGTCAGTGAAAGCAACTACGGAAACAATCTGGCCCTTTGCACGCCCTTGGGCCGCGGCCGGGCGCCAGCTCTTCCTTCCGTTTGCGCTGTGAGCTGAGCCGGTGTATGTGCAGCAATAACATGTCAGCCCCGCTGCCAGCCATCGTGCCCGCCACCTGGAAGGCCACCGCGGCGGTGATTTTCCTTCATGGATTGGGAGATACTGGGCACCGATGGATAGAAGCCTTTGCAGGTATCAGAAGTTCACATATCAAATATATCTGCCTGCATGCTCCTGTTATGCCTTTACATTAAATATGAACATGGCTGTGCCTTCATGGTTTGATATTATTGGGCTTTCACCAGATTCACAGGAGGACGAACCTGGGATTAAACAGGCAGCAGAAAATATAAAAGCTTTGATCGATCAAGAAGTGAAGAATGGCATTCCTTCTAACCGAATTATTGTAGGAGGATTTTCTCAGGGAGGAGCTTTATCTTTATATACTGCCCTTACCACGTAGCAGAAACTGGCGGATGTCACTGCGCTCAGTTGCTGGCTTCCACTTCGGGCTTCATTTCCACAGGGTCCTATCAGGGGCGCTAACAGAGATATTTCTATTCTCCAGTGCCACGGAGATTGTGACCCGTTAGTTCCCCTGATGTTTGGTTCTCTTACGGTTGAAAAACTAAAAACTTTGGCGATCCAGCCAATGTGACCTTTAAAACCTATGATGGTATGATACATAGCTCATGTCAACAGGAAATGATGGATGTCAAGCAATTCATTGATAAACTCCTACTTCCAATTGATTGACGTCACTAAGAGGCCTTGTGTAGAAGTACACCAGCATCACTGTAGTAGAGTATAAACCTTTTCCCATGCCCAGTCTTCAAATTTCTAATGCTTACAGTGTTAAAATGTTTTGCAAATACACGCCAATGACACAGATCAAATAACGTCTCCTCATAAGAAATTTATGACCTTTTAAGTTTCTATACATGTATTCTTATAAGAAGATCCAGGATATACTATGTTAAAATAGATGAAGCAGGTAGCTTCTTTTTTCTCAAATGTAATTCAGCAAAATAATACAATACTGCCACCAGATTTTTTATTACATCATTTGAAAATTAGCAGTATGCTTACTGAAAATTTGTTCGGATATAAATGAGCAGTTAAGATGTAAACAATTTATGCATGCTGTGACTTGGTCTATGGATTTATTCCAAAATTGCTTAGTCACGACGCAGTGTCTGTATTTTTATATATGTATTCATATATACATGATTGTAATACATAATAAGAATGAAGTGGTATTACATTATTCCTAATAATACAGATAATGCTATTCATTGTCAAAAAAGAGTAAAATTGTTGTCTTCAATTAATGACCCTTTTATTTTGGGACCAGGATTTTCTTTTCCCTGATATTATTTCTATTTAATATTCTTTTCTCTCAAGGAAAAAAAAGTTCATTCTTTCTTTATTGTCCTTCATAGTAGGCCAAATATTGCCTCTCTGCCATAGACAGCTACTGTCAATACATGCCGTAATTTGACATTCTGAGTCACAGATATAAGGTATTTAAAATCTATTTATGCTTTATAGAGAAACCAGACATTATGCACTACTTATTTCCAATTATATTCAAATTTACACCTATTTAGTTATTAGGATCTTCAGCCCAGGTAACAGGAATAATTCTGTGTTTTTATTTTTCTGTAAACAACTGAAAGAATAATTAGATCATATTCTAGTATGTTCTGAAATATCTTTAAGACTGATCTTAAAAACTAATTTCTAAGATGATTTCATCTCCTTATAGCATAGAATTTACTTTGTACACATGTTTGAAACCAACTACTGTAGAAGATGAGAAATCTATTGTAATTGTTTGCTTTATTTTCATCTGCCAGTGGACTTATTTGAAATTTTCACTTTAGTCAAATTATTTTTTATATTAGTTTTTCATGCAAACATAAAAATAGCAATCATTTTAAATTGTCAAAATTTCCAGATTACTGGTAAAAATTATTTGAAAACAAACTTATGGGTAATAAAGACTAGTCAGAGCCCTATACATAAAGTGTATTTACCATACAGATTAATATTAAGCAAAAATGTATGCTTGATATTTCTGAACTGTGTTAATTTTTCTGCTGTATTCCAGCTGAACAACATTAAGAATGCATTTTTATAAACTGGTGCTAATCAATAATGAAAATAATTTAGTAATGGAATATATAGGATGTTAATAATGAAGCCATATGTTTTTGTCTGGATTTAAAAATTTTAAACATGTCATTTTTCTTTACCTTAAAGAATATAAACTGTTGTTTCAGTTCTGCAGATCAGCAAGATACTACTTATGGCAAGAAATATTCCTTTGAAATGTTGTGCTGTAATGTGGGAAAATGTAAATGTTTTTCATGGTTTTATCAATGTAAAATAAATTTAATTCTGAAAAAAATCTGAAATTTTTTCTAAGTCTTCCTTGTGTCAATCCAAATATTTTTAATACATGCTTAATTGTGCAAAATGTAACTAAAGTTTTCCTGGAACAAGAGGAAAGAATAATTGTCATATGTCACTTTTATAATCAGTACTTTATTTCAAAGCTCTAAGATTTACCTGAATGCATTAAAAGGAAGGAAAAAGGAAATCATAACTGTAACTGTGGTGAACTTCTAGATGTCATGCACTGAATTAGGTCTTTCTATATTATTATATTTAATCCATATTGTGGCAGATTGTAATGCTGGTCCCAAGCACAGTTCCCCTCTTCTCTATAAGAAAATCATCCTAGACCACTGCCATGCGACTTGATGGGCTTCCTTGTGAAAGGAGGACACGCTGTCATCGAGGATGGCCACATGACTTGCTACTGCCAGTTAAAATGTGAACAGTGTAATACTGCACCAATTCTAAGAAGAAATTTAGAAACCATCGTATGTTTCTGCCAGCTCTTTCTCTTTCCCTCTGCCCTGAAAATGTGTCCTAGATAGGATCAGCTCCTTAGCCCAATCTCTAGAGTAAGATATGAGAGCCAAAGCCACCAACACACAAAAACAAGAAAAAAACCTCACTTGTAAATCATTGAGATTTGGGGATTATTTGGAATCATAACATAACCAAACAAAAGCTGATTGATATGTGTGCTGTATGAGATTGCTTACATTATACTCATTTTATAGAAACTCAAACTGAGGCTAAGAGAGATCGAGCAATTTTTCCCAAAATATCAATGTTTACCGTAGAAACCTCTTTAAGAGAAAATTTCTGTGTCTTGGTTTTCTCATCTGAAAAAAAAAAAAAAAAAGTAGTCTTTCTTATCTCTTAGAGTTATATATTAAAGTTGTTTTGGAGATTAAATGAGTTAATACATGTAAAATACTCAGAACACTGCCTGGCAATAAGTGTTCATTATTGTTTCAATTATTATTTTTATTTTTAGGGCTTATTATGAAATTACTTAATTCTTCTGAGCGTCAGTTTACCTATCTGTAGAATAGGGATAATCATACCTTTTTAAATGTACAGGATGTCCTCAAAATAATGTTATATCATTCAACATGATTTTGTTATAACACTAATAAAAAAAAATCAATTCCTGGTCAGGGCCACTGTCTGTGGAGTTTGCACGTTCCCTGCATATCTGTGTGGGTTTTCTCCGGGTACTCTGGTTTCCTCCCACATCCTAAAAAGTGCAAGTGAGGTGAATTGACATGTCTGCATGGTCCCAGACTGAGTGATGGTGGGTATGAGTGTGAGTGTGCCTTGCAATGGGGTGGTTTCTGTCCAGGGTGAGTTTCTGCCTTAGGCCCTGAGCTGCCAGGAGAGGCTCCAGCCATCCACATCCCTGAATTGGATTAAGCTGGCTGGAAAATGAATTAATGAATATGAAGTATTATAAAATAAAAGTGTATAAAATATTCAATTTCATACAAATGCACAGTAATAAACAATGTGGTAGAAAAATGCTCAGTGAACCTGTTGTATTGTGTGATTTCGAATTGTGTGGTGGGAAGTGCTCCTTACAATTTTTGCTTTATAAACATTTACTCCTTGATTGAACTCCACCACCACTAGAGCTGCTATCACTTGCTAATTTACCAAAAATTGGGAAAATAATTATCTTACTTGTTTTTATTAAGCTTTCTTAAATGGATATATAGCTCACATTTATTTCTTTGTTTAATAGTATAAGTGTTTTGGTCTTCATTTAGAAGTTTGGTGATGTTTTTGTGACCAGAAATATGTCATAGGAACCTAATTCTTGTTTAAATCAATTAGCCTATGGTAATATAGGTTTTGTTATGTGTTATAGATGCCCAAGAACCTATTGACAATGATCAATGAGGACTTACTGTACAGGATTGCTGATTTAAATAAAATAACATATGTGACATTGCTTTTAAATATATTATTAACATATAAGGCTAATTGTATTATTAAACTATCTGATCACAACTATTTGTAACAAGACAATAGGCCACTGTCATGAAAATATATAGCCACCATTATGAATATACCAAGAACTTGCAAAAAAAAAGTTCTTTAAGAATCTATAATTATCACTGTAGTTAATCAGATGATAGATAACAAGCTTATCTGTGCAAAGACAGTGAAGAATCTCTAGATCTGTGCTATCCAATAGAACTTTCGGTGATACTGGAAATGTTCTATATCTGTATTGTACACCACATAGCCACTAGCTACGTGTAGCTATTGAGCACTTGAAATATGGTGAGTACAACAGAGGAACTGATTTTTAGTTTTATTCACGTTTAACTCTTTTATATTTAAATAGTTGCATGTAGCTAATTGCAACCATATTGGACAGCTCAACTCTAGAACTTAACACAGGGGAAATCTTGAGAGAAAAACAGTACTCTAATATTCAGAATAAGGCAATGGAATCTTCTTCCATTAAATAAGAAAATTTGAGGAGGACAAAATCTGGGCAATGGAAGATTTAGGTGATTGTTATTCTGGAGAAAAATCTAAAAGATGACTTGTACATTATGATGTGTTTGCCCTGGCCTAGTGGCCTAGTATTCCACAAACTGTCAATAGCAACAAAACAAATAAATTAAAGGTGGCCATGATAACACTGTTTTCATAAGGCAAAGCGCCTGAAGGGAGGAAAGAAAACCTTGATGATAACATAGCAGCAGACCTCTTAGAGCTAGGAACTCATTTTGAAGCCTCATTAATGAAAAGCAACACTATTTTAAACATCATCTCCAGTGATACCATTCTAGCCGAAATTATAATCAACCCTCAACTGGACCACATCAATAGCTTAAAAATAGGTCTGGTTTTTGTTCTTATCTCATACATTCTATTCTGAACATTGCTACCCATTGGAGTAAAATGTCAAAATCACAAATCTTATCATGTCATACTCTGCTTGAGACTTATCAATGTTGTACCATTACTGTTACAATAAAATCCAACCTTTATTATGACCTATAGGTCTGGTCCTGCCTCGGACTATGCCCTCATCTGATGTCTCTATCCCCTTCATTCATGACACCCCAACCACTCTGTCCTTTCAGTTCCATGACATACCATGTTTTCTTTCCCCAGGGCCTTTTCCCCTACTACCCCTTCTTCCTGGGATACTCTTTTCACCACTTCCCCTTCTATTGACTTGATTAACTTCTACATCTTTTTAATCTTAGCTCAAATCTCCTGTCACAGAGAGGTCTCCCTAATTGGCATTTTTTTGTTTCTCTCTCTTTCAATACCTTATATATTTCCTACATATTCCTGAATCCAATTTGCTTTTGTATCCATTTGCATAACCTCTCTCTCCCACAGTAGACTATATGGTCAGTGAAGGCAGGAAGTATTCTGCATTATATGTGCTTTGTTTACTGTAGCATTTTCAGCACTTAGCATACTCAGTAAATGTGTTGAATTATTGAGTGAATGAACAATTTCTTGTCTTAACTATATTTTGTTTCCTTACAGTACCCACTATTATCTTTCTCTCTGGCATCCTCAAACTTTTTTGTCTACACTGGCCTTTTCCCCCTAAGCTTTCAAGCCTGCAGTTCCCTGCATTGATCAGCCCTTTACTATAATCTGTCTCCTGTCTTTAATACAACCTACTTCCTATTAGAACGCCAATTCTTTCATTTATAGCCATGTTTCTACAACAAGACATTTTCCCAAAGTTCCTGTTTCTTCTTTATCCATGCACAACTTCTCCTTTAAGCTTTGCTTTCTGCCTCATGATATATAAAAATTACAGTTGCAAATTTGAACAATTTTCTGTAATTGCCAAATCAAATAGCATATTCTGTAATGGAAATTACCCAGAATCCCACCATATTTGGAATGAACTGTTTTCATTTTTCTCTCTTCATTTTCAGTTCTTATCGACATACATCCATAAAGTTTTAATTAATGGTGATATTTAATACTCTAATATCAAAAGTGGCTACATTTTCTCTATAATATCTCTATAATTTTTATATACAAGGATGTCCTTTTTTGTGATGTGTTACAATTAAGCTATTTTTTATAATTAGATTGAT
This sequence comes from Homo sapiens, assembly GCF_000001405.40. Classification (NCBI taxonomy): domain Eukaryota; kingdom Metazoa; phylum Chordata; class Mammalia; order Primates; family Hominidae; genus Homo; species Homo sapiens. The sequence continues at coordinate 110,939,373 of NC_000004.12, read as the reverse complement.
GTGGGTTTTCATATTCTCACCATTTGAAGACCAATTGGAAAAAATGTCTTTATGAAACTTAATATTTCTCCTTTTTAGACTCTATCCTTAAATTTCCAAGAGTAGGAATATTGGGTCAAAGGATATGACTATGTTTATTGCTCTTGAAATGTACTGTCAGACTGCCTTATGAAATATGCTACCAATTTTTATTGAACGCCATTAAAATATGAACATACTAGCTTCACTATATCTTTGCCAGTGAGCTTTTCTCATTCCTAACTCTACTTGATCTATTGATTCCTTTGTCTCCCCACATTGAAAGCTCCTCCTCAGTTTATGCTATGTTATCATGCTTCTTTCTCAGTTTGCCTTTATTTTCTTTACCGCAATTCTCTTTTCTCCCTGGCCTTATATCTTTTTACCCTTTTACCTGCATCTGCTCTTAAGGCTTCAAATACTTATTACTGAGGTGGACTTTGAGAAATTTGCAAAATTTTTTTTGTTTTGTTTTGTTCTTGTTTGTTTGAAGTACTTGTGATAGCAGAGTAAATTTTTTAACTTAATTTAAAATTAATGAGAAGTGAATTGTAGCTAGAAGTGAAACTAGGGATGCTAAACATAAGAAAAGGTACAGTTAATGACATAATATTAATAATTCATAATTCAGCATCCTGAATGATGCTCTGTGAGATTTCTCTGCATCACTACCATAAATCCTACTTTCCCTAACCTAGCTTGACTCTGTTTCTGTTCCTGGAATTCAAACAACTCCAAAGAAGGGTACAAGTCAGACATATTCATCCACTGAAATATTTTTTTAAAAAATCATGCTCTCAAAAATATTTATGATTGGAAATGCTTATGTTATAATTGAGAAAAAGCAGCCTATGATCTAAATGGTTTAAAACACACACACACACACACACACACACACACACACACACATGAGACCTAGAGCACCGTTGCACAAATGATGATTCAACAACCCACAGAGGCTGACCGACACGTTTCCACAGGGTTGACACCATTATAGGCAGTTATGGCACCTATTTTGTTTCCCTTTTTTAATAATTTAAAGTATCATTTAAATATCTTATGCCATCAAAACAGAAAGTACCATGGGATTGTGCATATCCAGACTTTGGAGACCAGATGAATATGTTCCTGATTCAGTCACTAGTTCATCACTCAGCTGCACACCAACAGCCACTGTGCTGGTTTTGAACATTATGCAGTTTTTAAATTATACTTATTCTTTGTCATGTATATATTAATATATATCCCCAGTAGACCATTAGCTAAGTACAGGCAACATAAGAAACACTAATGTTAAAATGCAAGCTAATGAGAAACGAACACACCAAAGAGAGATGATATTTCAAATTTGTTTCAGGATGATTTCCACCAGGTTCACATGTTAAACTCATCTGAGCAAGATGTCTCTGGTGTTTCCAAAACAGGAAAAATATTGTAACCATTATATCAGGTTGACTTTCATTTACTGGAAATTAAGACTCCCCATCCCTACATCTTTTTACTGAGTAGGACTTAAAAATACCCTAAAGCTTTCTCCTTTGTTATCACTGGATTCAAGCATAAAATTATTTTTTTAATGGATTTGTCGTTTAAAGTGCAAAGGGCAAGACTTGGAACATTAGGTAATAAAAGCATGTTTTTGTTTCTTTTTGATACCATAAAACACACATTTCAACCTATATTTTAATCTATATTTGGTCTAAAAAACTATTATGTTACCTAAGTACTTATTTGTCAAGAAAACATATTTGTTCTTACACAAGGGAAGTAAGTAAAGAACATACTTCGCTTGGCCAGGTTGCTTAAGCCAAGCTTCACGTTCTTTATCTATGTAAAAAAAGGAATTAGATGAGCTGATCTTTTCAGATGACTACTTCCTACTCTAAAATTCCATGACTGGTAGGAAAGAGGACCAGGTCCAGCGAATTCACACTTGCCCATATCCCAAATATACTTACGTGCATATCTTCCCACATGCTTTCTCTATGGTATGAGTGTCCCTGAAGACCAATATAGGTAATTTTTAAATATCAATGAAGTACAAAGTGAGCATAGAAAATTAAATGCAAAACATTTGCTATATCTCGCAGATTTCCATCTGATTTAAAATAATATTATTTAGTTTTGATTTTAAAAAGGTTTTACCGATACATAAAATGTCAGAGTGCCAAAACAAAGCCCCAGTAGCCTTCTGTTCTCCTTTTCCAATTTTTGCACCCTAGAGGGAGCCCCTCTTGACTCTTTTAGTTGATTCTTTTGACAAATAACTTCCTATTTGTATATAATATGCTCTTCTTACTTAGAGTTTTCAGCTAAGGTGTTGCCTATTGATTTTCCACTTGGGAGATTATGATTTAGTATTTTTTTTGCTACCAATACCCACTTCTCCTTTTAATGTGCCACAGATGCATGCTAACTGTGCCCCAACATCCCAATATTTTACATGATAGTTGTGGTTGGAAAAATAGGCTGGGTTTACATTGTGGCTCTGTACAACTTTATCCACAGCTGAAGCATAGAGTGAACTATGATCTCTTAATTTTCTGTGCAATACTCTGTCTTCCCAGGAAGACATGATAATGATTATTTTTAAGTTTATCTAGAATTTTCAGTACTTACTCATTAAAATCTAAGCTCTTTGTTAATTTTTAAAATATTAAAATACGTTATGTATTAATCTTCTTAAAATTTTCCTGGACTTTTCTGACCTGCTCCAATCTGGACTAAATGTTCTCCATACACAGCTCATACCTATCACCCTGAAACTCTCTCTTGAATTGCATTCTCTGTTTCCTATTTCATGTGTTAAATATAGATAGATGACAGAAGGACATGGATAGATGTACATACAGACATATAGATATGTTATCTCTTCTATGGATACAACATGACAACAACATATTGAGCTTATCTGTAAAATGGCCTATCATTTTATTTTGATACTCAGTGAGTAAATGTTCACACTTGATAATTTTTAAAGTGTCAATAGAAAAGTCATACTTCCTTATTGTATGAAAAGATTTTTTTTAATCTTGGAAAGTGAATTCTATTACAATTGGTTTGCAATTCTAACTGTAAAATCATATAAAAGAGAATAATAATATTGATAACACTTCTTTCTTCTGGGTTCATCTGGATATTTAAAACTTTATAGCCTTGTATAACTTCTTATTCAATAACAAGCACAATCCATGCTCAAGAAATGCGGTGTTTATAGGAGCAGAACCTAGAGTTAGTTTTAATGTAACCTGACAAGAGTGAAGACTAGGGAGGAAAAATAGTGACCACAATATTTAATTGTAAGACCTAGCTTTATTTTCCATATAAAAAATGAATATAAGGTACTCAGTGCCATAAATATGCAACCATAGCCCTTTATGTTTTGACATATATCATTTGGTCATTGTAATAACTACAAACAGGTCAAATAATATAACTACCTTTACTTTATAAATGAAAACCTAGGCCATAGAGTAACTTATCTATGGTACCACCGTGAGCCATTGTCAAACATGGAATCAGGACGCCTGGTTCCTGACACCTAAGCTAGTGTCTATGTTATTATTATTATTACAATTATTATTTATGCATCTATCAGTGAACTATTTTTTTCTTTCCCCTCCCTTTGCTTTTCTCTAATTCCCTCATTCTGCCCCATTCACTCTCTAGGACCTTATACTCCTCTCACTATTCCTGGGCAACAAATTTTAAGAGTGTATCTTTCCATGTATTTCTCTTTGCTGATATAAATACTGACCCATGCACGCATGCATGCCCTACCCACCCACACAACATACCTACACATATATGAGAGAGTTTGACATCATTAGATTTATAAAATGACATCAAATTATAAATTTTTCTACAAACTTTGCTTTCAAACTTAACACACTTTGGGAATTCCTCCAAACTAACTCATTTTTAAGGACTGCATAATATTTCATGGTATTAACATTTCACTGTTTTTTCAACTATTACTCCATTTATTGGCATTCCCTTACTTTTTTTTTTTTTTTTTTTTTGACAGTCTCACTCTGTTGCCCAGGCTGGAGTGCAGTGGCACGATATTGGCTTGCTGCAACCTCCGCCTCCTGGGTTCAAGCGATTCTCCTGCCTCAGCATCCTGAGTAGCTGGGGCTACAGACACAAACCACCATGCCTGGCTAAATTTTTTATTTTTATTTTTAGTAGAGATGGAGTTTCACATATTGGTCAGGCTGGTCTTGAACTCCTGACCTCATGATCCGCCCTCCTTGGCCTCCCAAAGTGCTGGGATTACAGGCATGAGCCACTGCACCCGGCTGGCACTCCCTTAATTTTTAGTTATCACCTTGAACACCACGATGTCAACATTTATAGGCAACTAATGTTCTCATTCATTAGTATGTTAAAGATAATACTGGTTTAAAATCCAAATTAATCTTGATAAGTTATATTATTCTCCACAGAGTTGTAGAGGAACTGAAGAGTCATTACTATTTGTAAATATAGCATTTACTATTATACTGGTTTTTCAAAATTTTTAAACTCCATGAAGTAAAGAAATTAATCATTTAGAATTACATACATAACTACATTTTGCCTAATGACTACTTGGAATCTGGGTTCCATGTCTATACTGCCACATACCAGCTGTGTGACTTGCAACCAATTTTGTAACCTTCCTGTGCTTCAGAATGGAGATGATTTTGTTTTCCTCACAGAGCAGTGGAAAGAAGTAAATAACTTTAATACAAGTAAAGTACCTAGAACAGAGCCCAGCATGAAGTTCTCAATAAGTAAATGATATGAACAGTTATTGATGTTATTAAATTGTAAGTACCTCAGGTTTATGGGGTGAGGGGGGTGGGGATTGCTAAATAAAATCCCAGAAAAACTGCTTACCGTTTTGTAGAGTGACCAAAGATATTTTTCAGTACCTCTAATGGTATGTGCTGGAAAAGAACTTTCAACACTCAAAATAGATTATAATTAAAAGTACTTATAATGGCTCCCCTTACAGCTTCACAAAGAAAAGTGAAATTCCCAAAGAGGTTGTAAATTTTCAGCACTCCCACTAGAAAATGAGAAATGGTCATAAGCACTTTCTTGACAGGTGAACTGTGGCTGCCAACAGCCAAGGAGAGGATATTTTGTTTATATCAGTTGCCATTCAGCAAATCAAAATTCAACTGGAAACTGTTCTTTTCTGTCCTCAAATTTCATATGTTTAAGTCTAATCATTGCTTTGAATATATAATGTCACCAATAGGACATGGAGCACTTCAATATGACAGTTGAAATATTAGCATGACAAGTGTAGTAAAAGGAATTCTAGTAAAAAAGAAAAAAATCTTTTTTAAGATTGACTGTCTAGAATTTGCCAACTTAAACAAAAGATATATCAAATTCTCTACCACTAATGAGAAGAAACTCATGATTCAATAACTGAATTGTATAAAATATTTCTTCCATATATAAAGTAACAATGTCACCCGAGATACGTGTTAATTCCCACATCAAAAACACACACAAAGTTGAACAACTACGTGGTTCTTTTTTCTTTCACTGCTTGAATGTCTTTCCTATGTGCCTTTCTATGTGCTAAAGGAGTGTTACTCGAACTTGATTATGTGTTTCTTAGCTGGAAGCTTTTTCAGACACAGAGAATGGCAGGCACTGATACCAATCAAGACGCTCAGGTTCAAACTCACTGCCTCCCACTTAGCACTCTGTCTGCCAACTGGAAAATAATTTGTTTGAGCCACTAAGGCTTACAGTTATTTATTCTTTATCCTTGATTTTTCAGGGAGGCCCACCCCCACCAGTGACCCTTGCTAAAAGCAGATAACATTGGAGAAGGACAAAATTCTGATGCTATGCTTACTTTTAGCAACTCTAGTAAAGCTTTTCCAGTGCTGGCCCTTGATCTGGTAGCTCATGTAGGCTCAGCATTCGGCAGTGCAAGGCAGCTTTAATCTAATTCTCACTTCATTTTTCCCCCCGGCTTTCTCCTTAGGACAAGTCTCAAGGAAGAAAAAAAAAAAACGAAAGAAAGAAAAGGAAAGAAAGAAAGTCACAGGCCTGGCACGTCATAATACGAAAATGCACCACTAATTACTGTGGCTGTAATTCTTGATCCAGCCAAAATACAGGTACACAATTACTTTACTTGGGGTCAGACTCTGCTTAACCCCTGCTTCGTTTCACCACCTCTTCAGCACGTTCCCTCTTCTTCAACAGCAGTTATCTCTTGATAGTAATAACTGAATAGCTGCCTCAGAAGAAGATTCCCTTGGGAAGCATCCAGGTGAGGAGCAACAAAGCCAATGCCCCACACAGGTTTGGGATGGATTGTGACTTATTGGGAATAAGAAAGAGAAACCCAACGTATTTCATTCTGGCTTTCCAAAAGACTTAATGATTATTAGAATTGCAATAAGATGGTTGCAATCTGGTCCCTTTCCAATCAAGTAATAAGCTATTTTAAAATCCATAAATATTTTAGGGCTTCTTTATGATGGATCTAGTTTTTTTAATGGACACATAACATTTAGTTTATGAGAGTTTTATATCGCACTTGAGAAAATTATGCACATGTGCGTTCAACCTACTTACGTATTTTATACGAACTTGCCATCTATCAGAAAGAAATGCCACTACCAACCACAGTCACACATGAAGTCAGTGATTTTACTGAATAAGGAGCACCTACTAAGCATGCTTTCTAGTGTGATTTAGCAGAAAAGCATTTCAGGGAGTATTTTTATATTTAAATTGGCTATGCCTGCTCTATACAGTTTATCCGAAGCTTTTTTTAAAAATCTGTTTCAATTAAGAAGTATCTGACTTGCCATATATATAAGAGAAAGAGAAGAAAGAGAAAGAAAGAGAGAGAGAAGGAAAGAAAGAAAGAAAGAAAGAAAGAAAAGAAAGAAAGAAAGAAAGAAAGAAAGAAAGAAAGAAAGAAAGAAAGAAAGAGAAGAGAGAGAGAGGAAGGAAGGAAGAAAGAAAGAAGGAAGGAAGGAAGGAAGGAAGGAAGGAAGGAAGGAAGGAAGGAAGGGAGGGAGGGAGGGAGGGAGGGAAGGAGGGAGGGAAAGCAAAGAAAGCGGGCAGGCAAGTCTTCAAAATATATGCAGAGATAAACCCATTCTCACCAATGCCACTGCTCCCACCTTGGTCAAGGCACCACTATCCTGGGTTTGACTTAATATGGTAGCCTACTAATGGTATCACAGCTTCTACCCTGGCCACCCTGTCTAGTTTCAATACAAAGTAGGCAGCTTAATTTGTAGGACCCAGGAAATACGAAAATACAGACCCTTTTTTCAGAAAACAGAAAAAAATGCCATTAAAGGTACAGAAATATAAAATGCTTTTCTTTCTTCCATGGTTGTTCCCTTTCAATTTGTCATGGTGTTTTCTATTTGCTATTGAATACCATGCCTCCAAGGGCACAGGGATTCTTGCTGGGTGGGTGCAGGCCCTCTCAGGTGATGACTTTTGCATAAAAGGTCTTCCTGGAAGGCTGATGGGACTCCAAAAGAAGGATGTTCTGTGGAGGGAACTGTCAGAAAAACCAGGATTATTCAGAATGGCAAATAGAGAACAATTCAGGAGGCCCAGAAGAAAAGACCTCATGAAACACACAAAAGCATCCATAAGCAGGATTGCAGATTACAGAGAGCTGCCTGCTGAAGAGTAGAGAGAGGAACAAAGCGCAGAGAAAGGGGGAGAAAAGAGAGGGAGAGGATGTTGATTCATATATTCATCCTGGCATTCTACCTTTTGATTTGAAGTTTTGCTTGTGACTTAACATGACTGCTGTACTTTCTTTTACTTAAGACTGACCAGAAAAGTCATGAAATCTGTTAGAGATCAGATCCAGGAAATGGGACAGAGAGAGAAATCAAAAATAATGTTTCAGTTACATCTTATAATTCATTCTTATTTATGGCTGATTATATGAAATTACTTGATGCTTAGAAAGGGATGCAGCATATTGGAAAAAAATAAGGATCTTCAAATCCTTGATATACTACGATTAGTTTCAAACCTTACATAAACTATATAACTACAATTTTCTCCTTGTCTATAAAACGTTGAATCTTGAAATCTAAAACTATAACTCATGCTTAGTTATTCCTTTAGTACTCAACACAGTGTCTGATATAAAGGCTCCATCAATAAATATTTTTAAGGGATAAGTGAAAGAATGAACCTGGCTTCCCAATCTATTAAAATTAATTATTTCCATTGTTAGCTGTGGCCCTATGTAGGGAAGTAGGTAAATAGATAGATGGATGAATGCAGAAAGACTCCAAAGAGCCAAAATGGCTATGCATTTTAGTCAAATATAAAACAACCAAAAGCTTTATATAAAAAACTTAACACCACTCAGAGGCATGTTAGAGCCAGTGGATACTAAGAAGTCCTTTAATATTCACTGGCTCTAAGACATACTCTTTTTCCAATCCTTTTGTTAACATAAACAGAAATGTTCATATTCATATGGTTGAAAAACCTTACAGATTTGGAGTTCAGTAGATTTTGAAGATAGTCTGAAAAGCAGTGAAATTATTAAAACTCTAAGAAATAATTATTCCAGATAAAGAATCTTATTTTGTCTAGAAAAATATGGTTACTTGATGACATAATGTCTTCATGAAGTGAAGGCTTATAGTAGGGTAGATAATGATTTTTGTTATAGAACTTTTCTGACTGAAGAACTGTAGGAAATCTAATTCATTTCTATTCAACAAAAATTGTCAGACTTTACCTGAAAACATTTTAAAAAATTGTTTGCATGTTCAAATGCTGCAGTGACTGGGCAAGTAACCAGAATAGGTGCAATGCTAGGTTATAAGCACTCGGAATGATAAGAATTGTTCCAGACCAGACAATGCATTCCTTGTCCAAAAGGTAAGTTGCTAATAAGCTCCAGATAATGATACCCGGTGAGAACTTGGACCCATATTTGTTACAATTTCCAATTTTAAAAGAATTCTGACATTAAAATTTTTATATAACATTTTCTAAGTTTAAATGGCAAATTTTAAAAATCAAAACAAAAACCCACTATGTAGGCCAAACAGAACAAGCTTTGGCCTATATATGACCAAAGCTCTTAAAGTTTGTTGTTGTTGCTGTTTCCCAGTTAAATGTTAACGATGTTCAAAGAGGATAAGAGATTCGAAAAATCATTTGCAAGTCTTTGACCTGTTACCACCAACCAACTTTTTAGATTTTCAGATATGCGTGTGGGCAACACCACAGATAAGTGGATAATCTTTTCTTTTCTTTTCTTTTCCTTTCTTCCTTTTTGCGAGGGGAGTTCTTTATCTCTCTTTCTCTTTCTTGCTTTCTTTCTTTTCTTTCTTTATCTTTTTTATTTTCAACTAGTTGGGTTTTACTCCAACTTCCAATGAAGGAGAACTTGGTTCTGACAAAATGTGGCCAGAGAAACATTAATTCTTTGAGCTTGAGGCTTCCAAAATCTGCTCCTTTGCTGCCTTCATTCTGGAAACACCCTAATCTTGGCCATGTAGGGAAATGAGTAGGAAATAAACAAGGAAGAAAAACCCAGCAAAACCCTGGCTAAGTTTCTCACTTCACATTCTTCTTTATTTGCGCTTCACATAACCCTGAGTGTACACGCGCGCGCGCGCGTGTGTGTGTGTGTGTTGGAGGGGAAATTAATGGAAACATGGATGGAAGAGAAACACCCACAGGACGCATCTAACACACCAGCCCTATGGAAAGTAGAGGTGAAATCCCACATATTGGCCATCAAAGAGAGAACAAAAAGGGAAGAAAGTCAAGCCTTTCTCTCAATTTAATCAATTCTGTTTAAATCTTCTTATTTTTACTACAGAATTCCTCTGTCACTAAGGTGACTCATTGAGCCTGACTTTTATCAGAGCTCCTTTTCCTTTAGTAATTTCTTTGGGAGAAGAAGAGGGGAAGAGAAAGAAAAACCTTTGAACACTCCCTAATGGTATGGGAAACATTAAGCATAGTAACATTCACTGTGAAAGTCCCCAGAATGTTAGAATATCTACTAGAAATGTTACCACCACATTCTCACCACCACCCAACCAGATATCAGAGGACATCACCATTGTCTGTTTAAATACGTCCCTTCATGGAGTGTTAGATGCACTAAGCATTCTTTTGAGAAAAAATTTAAGTGATTGTATTTCCATTCTAGCAGTGGTCCCCACATGCCACACTTTCCCATTCATAGTATTTGCTTTTCTTAGTGTTTTGAAAAAATTATATTGGAAAAACATGGCATGTTTTCAATTAAATTATATTTCAGAAGGATTTATGGAGAGGAAAATGTGAAATGACATTCACGTAGTATCATCATATATTCACTCAAATAATTTCTATACACATTCCTAAAAAAGAAAAAGAAAAATGCTTTCTAGGAATAAAAACCAAGATTCTTCATTAATGCAATATTGTAGACAATGTATCCTTAACTTTTAGAGAAAAGGAGTAAAGTATAAGAAAATTTTTTAAATGGAATGCACCTGATTTTTAACTTAAATTGAAATTTCTTTGCTTAAGTATTAGGCAAAAAGAAATTTCAGGTTATAGAAAAAAAACAGGTATTATGCTGTTTGCTTTATTTCTTATTAATATATAATCACTGTTTCCTGATTAATTTATTAAAGCTAGTATTATGTTAGATAACCTACAACATATAGAGAAAGCTGATAAGACAAGCTGTTTCCCACAGAGAGCTTACAATCTAGTTTGGACAATAAGAACAAGACATGAATCATAAACTTTTTAAATCAAATGAAAGCTCAGTTTCCTTGGTGCAGAGCTGAGTTCAATTCCTGGGTATCCTTGTTAACTTTCCGTCTCGTTGATCTGTCTAATGTTGACAGTGGGGTGTTAAAGTCTCCCATTATTATTGTGTGGGAATCTAAGTCTCTTAGACTTCCCAAAAAGGCTGGGTCCTAGAATTGCAGAGCTAGCAGAGAACAGAGCTAGACCCTAGGCTTTTAAATTCCAAGGCCCTCTTTGTTAAATGCTATGTAGGACAGCCTATGCAATGCAGTAGTTTAGCTTCAGGAAAAAAAAAAAAATAGGGCTTCTGTTGGTCTTAAAGGATTTATTAGAGGCTCTTCTCTTGGGAGAGTGGGGAGAACTACCAAAAATGACTTGGGCAGATCTTTGAATGCCCTGTGAGTGCATGCAAAATTTTAAATACAATTGTATTCTCTGGAAAATGATTATAGCATTTATCAGAGTTTCAAAATGGCTCTTAAAGCAAAAAATAAAAAATGTAAGAACTATAGGGAGGGGAATCATGGACAGTCAATTGTTGAGGAGGAAGACAAATCACTTGAAATTGATCATCTTTACAGGTTCTTACAATAAGAACCCTTACAGAACACATTGTAAGTGCTGAGTGCAAAGTTAGGTACATAGAAGGACACGAGATTAGACAGGATCTTCAGAGTCTAAGGGAGGAGATATTAGTGAAGTAGGAAATCCCTCAGACTAGTTTATAACACTAGTATAATTCAGTATGTTTGGCAACTTTGATTGCTAAATGGAGGTGTTCTTAATGTATCAGTTTCCAAAAGGGAACTCTGGCAACTCCAGGTACGCAGTTTTCATCTGATAGAAACATGATTACCTACTGGTTTAAGATAGTCATTTATTCATGTTATATTTTAATATTTTGCATTTCTGCATTGTCCTTAAAGTACATCCAACACTGAAACATACCTGGTTCTATAAACCAAATTAATACAAAGACAAACACATTTGGGACAGTTGTGTTATAAAGCATGAGCCTGCCTACTGTGTACATGAATGTGAATCATTCCTACTTGAGTACCATGGAGATGGTCTGTGTGCTGAAGCCAGTTCCAGGACAAGTGTTCCTAGAATGGTGAGCATTTCAGTGTCATTTACCAGCCATTCATCATGCTTAAAAAATAAACTATTCTCCCCCACTAACAGCTAATTGTGTTCACTCAGAAATGAGCTTCCTTATTTTACCTGTAGGGTTTCCCTACCACCACCCTCCACCGTGCCTTTGGCCAAGTTCTGGTTAACACAGGGTTATTCCATATCACTTGAAGAATGACATGTCCCGACTACCATGTTTGCTGACAAATGTCAATCAAAGTGTCTCAGAGCTACCCCAGCATGTCAGCCATCATCTGAAACACACTTTCCCAGGAACGCCTTAGCATGGCATCTTTGTTCTGTTTTCAGATAAACAGATCCAATTCCTCAACAAACAGACTGCTACAGTCCTTTTGATAACAGTGTAATAATTCAAAACAAATGATTCTCAGCTTTGATGATAGCACTTTTATGGGTCATGAAGAAATCCTCCCACCAACATCTGTTTGATTTTATCTACTTGAACTTTATCCTCCAGTTGAAGATTTATAAGCTGAAATCATCCCAGCCTATTAAAGTCAAACCAATGTTCAAGCACTAAGAGGAGAATGAAAGTGCATTTCCTAGTCATCTACCTTTTGAAAAGCTGTTGTGAGCAAAAGAATACCGAAAGTTTGGAGAACTTTATATTTGGCTGAGCCTGAGACAAGGCTCCCATGACAGAGACCTCAGGAATCCAGTTTGTGCATTTTAGGACAATAAGTTATTTACAGAATCATTATTTTAAAAGAAAACGTTACAAATACAGAAGTTGTTTACATTAAGGTCTATTTTCTTAGTGAAATCCACTATGGGTTAGGGAAATTAAATCCAGATTTTTCTATTTTTTTTCTTCTGCCTTAATTTCCTTATAGACTGCAAACTTTTAAATGTTGATTCAATAATATTTAAGTTTAACTTAATAACAAATTTCACTTGTTACCCACAAACACGAAAGATGTGCAGAGATTTTAATCCGATGAAAGGAAGAGCAAGAGTGCAAATGACTGGGTGTCAGGAATCCTGAGTTCAGATCACAGAACCTCCATTAGTTCACTGATTCAGTCAAGCAGATAGCTAGACGACACCCATTAGCTCTGTGTGTGCCTCTGTGTGTGTGTGGTATTGGGGGGTCATAAGCACATTGCTTTATGGAGGTTAAAACTTTCTTTCTCTGCCATTTACTCCTTACCAGGCAAAGTAAAGTAAAAGATCACAGTTCTTCCCTGGTTTTCCTACTTTTATTTAACTATATTTATATAAGTATAAAATATTTATATGTAAATACTTAAAACAATCAAGTATACAATAAAGAATTGGGAATTGGCCAGGCATGGTGGCTCGCACCTATAATCCCAGCACTTTGAGATGCCAAATGGGGAGGACTGATTGAACTCAGGCATTCGAGACCAGCCTGGGCAATCTCTCCACTCAGTAGATACGGATTGACATGAGTCAGCACTGAACAAATTTTCCAAACCAATTTCATATACTTAATTTAAAATTAGACACATTTTGGATGGTATGAGAGGAAAACTAGCAAAGACCTTTAAAAATATTAAATCTTTCTCCATTTTAAAGATGAGAACACCATGGGAAAAGTAGTTGGTAGCTTACACAAAGACATAGGTAGATAATTTACTCACTCATTCATTCTTGCAATAAACATGTATCAAAAAACTATTAGTCACTCAGACTGGCACTCAGTGCTAGAAACATGCTGATAAAGAAACAGATTCTGTTTCTGATTTTATAAAATTTATGGCCTATAGTGAGATGTGGGAGGTGGACAGTGACTGCTGTTACTACAGTAACTAACCACACCAACATGTGTAAGAACGCTATCAAGACAAGAGCTACAAAGAGGGCAATGCAAGCCCCTAAGTGGGAGATTTTACTTAGTGATGTTAGGGACAATTTCCCTGAGGAACTGGTGCAAGCTGAGACCTCAAAGATGAGTGGAGTTAACCAGGCAAAGAAGAAAGAGAAGAGAGTCCCAGGCAGGGAGAAAGCCTATGCAAAGGCCCTGTGGTGCTGGGAAGTAGGAGTGACCAAAAGAGGGGTGATTTCATTTGGCTATAATAAAGGGAAGAAAATGGGAAATGTGAGGCTGGAAGCATGAGTAGCAGACAGACCATGTGGTGCCTTGCAGTTCTGATTAAGTTTCCTCCCCAAGCCCCATTTATCTGAAGATAAGTAAACAATTTTATGCAGAGAGGTGATCCGATTCGATTTATAGTTTGACTAGGTTGCTCTGCTGTAGTGTTCACACTGGAAGAAGTCAGAGTGATCACTCCCAGACTGATTAGAGGTCATCAGTACAGGCAAGAGACAATGGCATTCTGGACTAGGGCGGAGGCAGCAGAGATGGAGAGAAACTGGCAGATTGAGATATTACAGGCATAAAATTTACAGGATCATGTGATAGATCAAATAGGAAGGTTAAGAAGATGGAGGTATAAAGGATGACTTTTAGATTTCTGAGCTGCAGACTGGGTGGATGCTAGCACCATTGACTGAGATAGGAAACACTGAAAGATGACCAGGTCTGAGAGAAGATCATGAGCTCAGTCTCACACATGTCGATTTTGAGGTGTCTTTGAAACATCCAAGAAAGGATGTCAAGTCAGTACAAGAACCAGATCTAGACTCTAAAACTTCTAGTTCTTTCCAGTAAGCTCCTACAGCTATTACATTATGTTCACTTGCAGAATAAAAGTACTTCTTGTTTGGTTTTGGTCTGTTTGTTGACAACATTCAGGATAAATGATCAGTAACACAGGTCAATTGATAATGAAAATTGGGGCTTAAATAAAACAGTTTTTGCTTATACCACTACTTTTTGAAAAAATAAATAAGAAACATGACATTTAAATAGGCTTTATTTTTAGAGATGATTTAGGAACTTTTCAATAGAATTTGGAGTTAACCACTGGTAACTGCCAAAAAATGTAAACTGTCTGATTTCTATCTTTCAGTGATTAAATTATTTATTCAATTACTCCTGGAAATAGGACCTTTAACAAATAATTGCACGTTCAGGCATCTATATTTTCTATATGCATAATCCATTTGTCAAAATAGCGAGCATTAAAACATTAAAATGGCATTTATGGATTTAAGGAACTCCTGTTATATTTAGCAGATCTCACATCTAAATTTAAACTACCACATACCTTTACAAATCATTTAACTTCTCTTGACCCTAGATTCCCTATATATCAAAATAAATATTTTTTCACCCACATGGCATAAATATAACTATTAAAGAAATAGAGATCATGTAATTAAAGCTGCATTCTCCTGAGATGTACTCAGCACTTAACATGAGCATCTGGGGCTAATCACCAGATACATCTCTTATCACCTCTGTCGCCCTCCCCCAGCCGCTTCCCCCACTCCCCGCCCCAAGTGCTGCTATGTAGTATTTATTTGCAAAATATGAACATATGTCACACTTAAAATTTATATTCTCCTCACTTTGTTGAAGACAGACCAATATATGTTGTCACTGATGCAATTTTCAAGAGGCTCAGAAATATAGAATTCTGTGTATGACTGTCTGATTTCATTTTGTTCTAAACAGCAACTGAGACTCTTTACACGTGAGAAGTATTTTGCCACCAGGAGGAGATGACCCTGAAGATTAACATATGCTCTCATCACTGTCAGTGCACCTAGCCCCCTTTTGAAGAGAACTCTTGTAAAAAACTCTGTCTTTCTAAATTACAAACATGCTCATATAAATTTCTCATTTACAACAAATAAAAATTCCAGGGTCAAACATTATCAAACAAAATTTATGATGACTGCAAAAATATTACACAGAAAGGAATAAATTACATGAGACTACTGTAGATCAGTGCCCCAAGCATATGACTAAAGCCAAAATCTTAAGAGTTCTTATGCTGATTTATTATCTTTCTTCATTGTTACCTGAGAGCAATTTATTTAACCTTGATGTGCTTCAGGTTTCCAAAATTCTAAAAGTAATGTTGTGGTCATCAGGCCCCCCCCCCCAAAAAATGATATTACATTTATTTTCAATTTCCCTTGTCCATGAAGTTTTATGCAAAGTCAATAAGCTTTCTTGTAGATTAGCAGTGAACACAAATGAAAAAGCAATTCCCTCCCTAGTGAAATCCCTTTGCAAATTTAATGTCATTCAGATGTTTGAGAGAAAGGCTTCAAGCTTTCAGAATTGTTTTTTTACCATTAGGACAAATTTTGGCATCAATCTTTGAAGAATTATTTAGTTCAGAGTTCTGACCCGCTTGGATTAGGCTCATTCAGGTTTACTGTGGACACTTCTCAGTCAGTGCTGCTTCATAAGCTGCACATGAACAATGAATTAACCAAGGCAACTAAACCTTCTGGGAATCAAGGACAATCTCAAACATTGAACTTGATGGTCAACCTCAGTTTGACATTCAAGGCATAATCTCAATTTGAAATCAACTTGAAAAGATGAAATTTATCTGATGAACATTCAAAGTAGCAAAAATTTAAGTGCCAATTTTTACCTTTGAACGATTGCCTGTTTAAAGTTTTCTGACCGAGAAAAAAAGGATTTTTATGGAAAATATACCCACTTATGTTCGGATCTATAAAATCACAAGCCTAAAATTATTTTATGCTCTAATGAAGTTTTTACATATCTTTCCTTCTGAAATCTCTTTGTCATGTGACATTTGCTAAGGGAATATGCTTAAAGAACTCGCTGGTTTAGTGTATCTAATCTTAACAGCCTTGGGGAAACTTAAAAATAGCTAAATTCAGAAGCCAGTAATTTTATTTATATTGATTGATTTACATGTGGTTTGGCTTAAAAGTTTACTGTTGTTTAATATTTGCATCCCTGAATACATAAGCAGTAAACTAAACTATTTCTCACCCACTTCATTAATTCCTGAAGGAAGATTTTCTCTGGTTTTGAAACTTCAAGTTTATACGAATTTTTATAAAAGCTTCTAGTTATATGTTGAAGATCAAATATAATTTTTCTCTAGAAGATGGAGGAGATGAAATGAGAAATGTAAGGAAGGAAAGGATTCTCTAGAATGAAAACGGATGATAGTATTAAAGCTTTTGTTTTTTCAAGGCTCCCTGTGGCCCTTTTTATTATAGATGCTTTGGTTTGAAGACTCTCCTCTCAGAATAAATTCCCCAAACCAACACCTTAGTGACTATCTACAAAAGTAGAAACTATTTTTGAGCTTTTCTTCAATCTTAGTTCAGCAAAGTAAGCAATAAAAATCATCTGAAATGCAAAGCTTCTTACATGGAAAAGGAATGCTAGTGGCTCACCAACTCTAAGGTTTTTGCTGAGTGGTCAGTCCAGTCCTCATGATAGGTTTGCACAAAATCATCAGCCCACTTGAGAGGAAATAATGCATATGCTAGGTTATGGACTAGGATTAAGGGGGCAATTCATGGCTTTGGAACCAAGTTCCTTTCCATACAAAACTTTCTTGCCCACCTGGAATCTGAACTCATGACCTTGGCTTTAAGAACAATATTTTCCCTGATCTAGTGAACAGCTCAAACAAAACAATTTAAATATTTACCTACTGTCAAGCAAGTGTGTGCGTGTGTGCCTTTGTGTCTATGTGTGTAAATATACAATTGCTTAAAATTCCTATATTAGAAAGGTTTGTTTGGCCATGTTCTTGTTTTATTTTAAAGATTTTTGATGCAGAAACCATTATAACAACAGCAATGACAAAAGAAAGGAGCAGAATTGCTGCTCTGATATAATTACTATTTCATTCATGCTCTCTCATGTCCTGTGGATTTGCTTTAAATCTGCTAGACTTGTGAGGCCTAATATCTAAATGAGATACATGGAAAAACAAAGACATATAGTCACATGTTACATAGTCCATTGCTGCCTTTAAACCTTTGTAACAGGATAAAAAAGATGTTACTTTTTGTTTTTTTTAATTCTTAAAGGTATAATTTATTTGAAAACCAAAGTTTAAAAGAAAGGTATTCATACTGTAGTTTATAGTAGTACTATGAATATATCTACAGTTAAGAGGATATAGAAGAGTATTAATTGCAACTTAAATAAGCATAGAAATTGTAAGACATGTTCTGAAACAGTATCAGGTCCAATATATAATAAAAATATCATTAAGATCCTTTAAACCAAAATCTGAAATAGTATCTTTCATCATCTGAACTAACAATATGGTTTATGAGAGGTTGCCATGGATGAAAAAAATGCATAATGACAGCAATAAATAACACAAATGTCTGTGGCTAATATCCTACAAGGAGCGCATGAAACGCTGACATCACTTAGAGGTTTACCAACCTTATTACTCTCCTTTATCACACTTCATATTGTCAACTAAGAGTAACTAAGTTCCTACATATTTTTCTTATCCACATGCATATCCCTAAGTATAGTATTTACAGTATATGTACAGCAAATATTACCTATAATTAGATGTTTTGTTATCATTTTATCCAAACATTTCATTCACAAGAAAGCTGCTGTATTCATAATATGTATTATTTTGGACTTTTTGTTACCATTTTCCAAATACTTTCTGAATCCTATAGAGTATTAGATTTGAATCAGAGTGTCAGATTTTTTTTATATATCCAGGATAATTCTATTAGTACATTCTCACACTGCTATAAAGACATACCCGAGACTGGATAATTTATGGAGAAAAGAGGTTTAATTGACTCACAGTTCCACAGGCTGTACAGGTAGCACAGCTGGGGAGGCCTCAGGAAACTTATAACCATGATGGAAGGTGAAGGGGAAGCAGGCACAATTTTCACATGGCAGAGCAGGAGAGAGAGCAAAGGGGAAAGTGCTACACACTTTTAAAACACCAGATCTCGTGAGAACCCACTCACTATCACAAGAACAGCAAGGGGGAAATCCACCCCCATAATCCTATCACCTCCCAACAAGTCCCTCCTCCAACACTTGGGGATTACAATGAGACATAAGATTTGGGTAGGGATGCAGAGCCAAACCATATCAATCATATTTTACCTAAGTAGTACAGTCAAGAAAACTGAGCCTTAGGAACTATTTGGTCATTTACTATTTGTATAATCATTGAATTTATGTATAGCCCAATAAATAATATCCCTGTAGTCTCCATGAATTCTGAACTATTAAAAAAAAAAACTTATAGACTCCAGGCAAGAGGACAAAATATAACTGTAATTGCTTATAAGGCTGAGATTACAGAATGTGACATACATTTGCAGACAAATAGGCTTCATAAGCCTAAACCCCTAAACAAGGCAACCTACTTACCCACTGACAGCACTGGACAATGACAAGCCTCTCTAAGCAAGAACTACTGCTGTAAGACCTAAGGCATTGAGAAGGAAAGCAAAATGTGTTCTCTGCAGACAGATTCCAAAAGGAGAGAAAGGAAGATGCTTCCTACTTCCCTACCCATTGAATCTGCTAACCTTCTGACTGGCTTTGGCCAATAGAATGCCTTAGAAATAATGTTGTATAAGTTCTGAACCTACACTTCAACTTGTATTGTTTTTCTATTCTCACTCTCTTTGAACATCACCACCATATAAAGAAACCTAGATTAACCTCCTTGAGGATAAGAGACTGTGTAGAAACAGAGAAACACAGCAGCTAGGCAGCAGTAACACCATGTGAGTGAGACCATTTCAAATTATTCAGTCCCAGCCCACCCACCATCCAACTGTAGCAACACGACAGGTTCCAGCAAAACCAACAGAAGAACTGACCAGCTGAGCCCAGGAAAATTTGTTTGTAAATTTATTTACCAACATTTGTTGCTAGGTAAAATGATTATTGGCAAATAAATTTTATTGCCAGTCATTTTATTGGCAAATAAAATAAATGATTATTGTCCTAAGTCATTAAACTTTGAAATAATTTACCCAGTAATATAACTAATACATAAATTTGCACTGAACATGAAGTGCAGCCATAAAAAAATCAAAAAATGCCTAAAATATGTGGCAACGACTCTAGGACAGGGTGGCATTGAGAAGACAGAAAAGCAAGAGGAAACTCTTAGTGGAGACTAGAAAAGTAGAAAAGAAACATGAAACTGGAAAAGGAGACAGGCTATATTATACAGTGGCAGAACAACTGGCAAACATGTTGACTGCAATAACTAGAAAGATAGAAAACATACTCAGAGTGGGTGGGATGGGCACCCCCCCAAAAAATATTCTCATATCCTAACCCCCAGAACCCGTGTATGTGACCTTATTTGGAAAAACAATCTGCAATTATTAAAGATCTCCAGATGATGGTGGAGGGGGATGTCATTCCAGTGATAAGCGTCCTTAGAAGGAAAAGCAGAGGGAGATGGAGAAGAAGAGAAGGCCATTTGAAGACACAGGCAGAGTTTGAAGTCAGGCTGTTAGAAGTCAAGGAATTCTAGGAGCCACCAGCAGCCTGAAGAAGCAGGGAAGCTTTTTCCCCTAGAGCCTCCAGAAGGAGCGTGGCCATGCTGACACCTTGATATTGGATTTCTGGCCTCCAGGAATTTGGTGGTTTAAATTTGTGGTAATTTATTGCAATAGCCCTGGGAAATTACTATGGCACCTAACTCAAGTAGGCAGGTAGAGCAAGGCCAAGAGTGATGCACCAAAGGAGATGCCTCAGGTAGAAGAAACACCAGGGAAGGAAATTATGCTCCTAACAGCATGAACATGTCACATGGCGCTTTTGAACATTAGCTTTCTTGTCTTTAAAATTACGGATTTAAATTGTGCTCGTCTCTTCCCTATAGGCCGCCTGTATTATACGGTGACAGAACAATCAGTAAACATATTGATTGCAATAATTTGAAAGATAGAAAACATACTTATAGTGGGTAGGATGGTGTCCCTATAAAAGATATTTCTATATCCTAACCCCCAGAACCTGTGAATGTGATCTTATTTGGAAAAAGATTCTTTGAAGTGATTAAAGATCTCCAGATGATAGGGGAAGGGAGTGTCATTCCAAGGTGGGTTTCAAATTTGTGCAGCCTTAGAGCATAAATCAGTTACCTAAGTTATGTCTGTGAATTCCTCTACATAAGTGTACATTTTTAAATATTACATATTACACAGTAAGTTATATGTGTATATACTATAAGTTTTAATTACTCTCCATTGAACTATTTCTATTCCTTCTACAGCCAAGCTCTTTGCTTTTAGATAAGAACATCAAAATGCAATGGGAGGTGAGCAGCATTTTAACTAATTGATGTAATTCCTGTTCCAATTCAATTATTACATTTCAGAATTTTTTGTGTGTATCCCAAAATAGTAGTTGAAAACAATGACTTTTTTATGACTGTAAGTTTATTGCCAAAGAGCTGAACAATGTACTTAAGGCTTATTTGGCACTTTGGCTTTCCTGTCTCAAATAAAATGGTAGATAAGTATATTTGAAGTAGATATCACTATGATTTTAACACTTTCAGTGAATGTTTACTTTGAGTATATTTTAAGGATTAATGTCTTCACGACAGCCTTGTAAGGTAGGTAGATTAAGTTCCTGTGGTTCCACAAAGAACAGGTAGCAGAGCTGGAATCCAAGTCTAGGTGTCAAATTTAAAAGCCCATTTTCTTAGCTGCTATCCCATGCTGCTTCTCTCTGTCTACACACATAAGAGTTTGTAAAATGTAAAAGCATAAACAGGGAAGGGATATTGTTGAGGAATTTTAGAACTTTTCTATTTCCCTCTTTCACTGCTGTGCACCTCAGTGCCTCCCACCCTTTATTCTATCACAGATATTTTGGAGTAAGGAGAAGACCTTTAGTGAGAATAAATAAATATACGTAAGTATATATCTGAAGATTTAGGTATATGTGGATGCACCCATTAAAAGTTGGCATTTCCCTTTGAATTAAGAATACTTAATTGTCAAAGAATACTTTGTGTGATGGTAAGGTTTGAACAAATAACTAAGAACAAATTATTTCAATTATTTAAATAATTAAGAAATGTCTTGACCAAGTCATATTTAATATGTAAATATGTTTACAGTATTATCGTTGGGCTCATGTGTGGGAAGTATACTGTATATATTAAAATGAATTTAATTTTAATCAACTCAAGTGTCTACATCAAAGGCTTTGCAGTGGGGACAGAAAGATAAGTCCTCTGCCTTCCTGGTTCACAGTCTTGCTTGCAATGTATATGAGTGCTGGTCTTTGTAAACCCCTAGGAAAATATCATACTTTATAACACTAGTAACATAATAATTGATCTTTAAATCATAAATTTTAACTAAAATTCTGATTTCAAAGATTCTTCTTGTTTCTAATTCACCTAAATTTGCAAGAGCTTTGTCTTTCAAGACCATCGGTCTCTTTAATGCATAGTTAATGGCCTGTGAAATATTTAAAATCACTAGGGGAACAAGCCATTCGAAGGGGAACAGTTTTACAACACCTATAATCACCCCCTTCTAATTGACTAGCTGCACAGGGCAGTGAGTTAGACATCTGTGTTGCCAGCAGAACTCTGCCACTTGAACTTGCTGGACACTTATTTCCTCACCTGTAAAGTGAGAAGGTTTGACAACCTTTTTCTCTCTTGTCAAGTTGGAAATTCTGCTCTGAACATTTGAATTTCTATGTATAATATTTTCTTAAAACAAGGCACATCTGTATTCATTATTATTTTCAGATTTGCTATACTTTACTTCCAGATCTTCTTTGCAATACCGTTGACATTTCTCTTGTTCCCTCCACTCCTACTTCCCACTCACTTTAACGCCTTCTATTATTCTCCTCAGACTGCCAGAAATCACTGCTGAGTGACAGTTTTTCCTTGGAACTCTGAGTCATCAATGTAAAATATTATAGAAAGCATTTATCTGTAGTCTCCAAAAGATATAATTTAAAATGAAATACACATTTTATATTGTAGCATGGAAATCAGGAAAATGAAAAAGAATAATGAACAGATAATTAGGGAAACTTTTTGAAATGACCTTTTACATGGTATCTAAAAACTAAATTCAGACCATTGAGAATAGCATTTTACCTAAACTCTAAAACCTAAAGAAAATGACATTTTGGTAGACAGTAAAACACATTTAGCATCAACATGACAAACATTCTGCTCAGGCATGGAACATGCAATACTTTCTAAATTTCTCCCAGCTTCAACCTTTACCTCTCTATAATCAACTCTCAAGAGAGAAACCACAGTTTAAAAAAAAAAACAAAAACAAAACAAACAAACAAACAAAAAACATATATCAGATTCTGTTACTTCCCCAGAAGAGCTCCCTATTTGAATCAGAATAGAAATCAAAGTTCTTGCACAGATCCAGAAGCCTGCAGGACATAATTCCAGGTCCCCTCTGACCTCTCCTCCCACTCTGTCCCTCACCCACTCCTCTCCCACCTCATCCTTCCTGTCCCTCAGGAAAACATGCCCTCCTTAGGACATTCGCACTCATTCTTACCTCTGTCAGAAACATTCTTCCTCCAGACATCCATATGCCTCCTCCATGTCCTTCCCAAAGTCAAACTGCATCCACTCAACTAGACTTACTCTGACAACCCATTTGAGATTTCATGCTCACTGCTACCTGGCATTCCCCATCTCCCTTACCCTGCTCCATTCTTTATTCCATGACACCTCTCAGGCTCTAACAAATCCTATAATTTATTTGTTTATCATGTCTGTTGCTTATTTCCTGCCTTATTCCCATCATCCCCTAGAATATATGCCTCACAAGATGAGGAATCTTGTGTTACACTTCCTATTTGATTATCCTAAGTTTATAACAGGGTGAGCAAATACATGTGCTCAATAAATAACTGTGTGATGCATGAATGGCCACTCCTGAGTCTGCCGGCTACCATCTCCCTTCCATGTCTCTGCTCTGCCTTGCTCTTTTCAAGCTACATCTACCACCACTCACAGCCTCCAGGAACTACTGAACTGTAGCCTGCGTCGACAAGATGCTGAATGCTCAGACAGGCTCAGTGTGGGAGGCCAAACTCCCTCTCCTCCCCCATATCTTTATCCACATCACCTTCACACAAGGTTGGATAATACATCACAGTTTATGAAGTGTTGGGGCTAACTGAAGAGAATCCCAATGGAATACAGGTGAGATGTTTAAATGGTGCATTTTATGGGCCTATCTTTATTCTCCAAAGGAAAAGAACCAAAAATTTAAAATCGTTCAACAGGGGGTTCTCAGGACACATGCGCTAGTCCCTTTTCCTACACACCTGCCCTCAGGACTACCCTTCTGTGATAAGAGTACTGCTTCAAATTGCTATAGTCCAACTCTTCACTAACTTCCTTTTAAGCAACTCCCACCACTACTCCCAGGATTTTTATCTCTGTCTAGCAGCACTCTTCTTTTCCCTACTAGAGGATCTATGTGACAAAATAATCCCTGTGAGTACATTTTCCAAAGACTATATTTAACTATGCTAACACTGTACTGGGGGCAGGATTTCCCGTGAACACCCAGGGTAGGATTTATCACACCACTACAGTTTTCCTCAAGGATTTCTCACCTGGGTGAGGCAAAAAATGAGGGCGACACTGAATCAGGCACACACAGGTGAGTGTACACCCATGCACAAACACCGTCACAACACACATCACCCAGGAGAAACACAAATGCTCAGAAACAGAGATTTATATTAAGGGAGAAGAAGAAGTTCCTAAATGCAAAATAATCTTGCAAGTTTCCCCTAAAAATGTAATAGGGCTACTTCTCACACTTCGTTGCCTCTATTCCAGGCTGTTTGCCGTAGCTATGAATAAGCACATGGGAGCCTAAAAGTTACACTGGTGGCTATCCAAAGATCCAACCAAACTCCAAAGATCTCTCTAAGCACAAAGGGAGCAACATGAGCATGTATAATTATCTGAAGAGAACCCAGGTCTATGGAGTCAAAATTTAGTAAAGAAGAGCTATACTTAAAAACTATATACAAGATGTCACCTATCAACTTGGGGAGGCTAGACACATCTAACATCAGTAATTTCAGAGAAATCTTAATAGAGGAGGGAGGTATGCAAGAAGCCAGAAAACCTTGAGTGGAGTGGGATGGACCAGAGCACCAAATGTAAAAGGGCCTGCTGGCTGGCTTGAAGTAAGAGAGGACATAATCTTCGAAGACCCTGACAGTCAAGTGAGTTTCAAATTTAAAATTCAAGCTACATGAATGATTTTCAAAATTAAACCACATGATAGAACCCTGTGAGGCTGTCATCGCTAATACTGATGGTTGTACTCCAATTTGAAAGACTAAAACCAGACGTAGTATACAGGGCAGTTTTCTATGATCATAATGCACATGTTTAAATTATTAGGAAATAAAATAAAATGGTACCTAAGCATGAAGAAAGGTCTGTCAGTAATTCAGATGACTGACTGCATTAGTTGCAAAGACCTAAGGGAGGAAAATACAAAGCAGAAAAACAATTGGCTCCTATTAGCAATACTTAGAAAATTACAAATCATAACCACACACACACACAGACACACACACACACACACTCCAACACACTTCAGTTCAGCTGTTGGTCTGTTGTTATATTAAAATATAGCAAAATAACCGAATTCTAAAAATTCAGAGTTTGGGGTCATCTCCTTCATCAGCTGTGTTGCAGTAAAAGAATAAAGTCCAGTCAATTCTGTAAAGGTAGGTTGCTGCTGTTCACACATCCTTAAGATTCTGGGCTCATGGATTATGTTTTGTAAATCAGTTAACTTACTACCCAGAGATTAAGGTAAATTCTGCTAAGGACTAAAAGTTGACTTAGAGCATTAAGAAGGATTAATGTTTAGCTGTGGAGAAGCTAAAGCACTAGGATAGCATGTTTACGCAGTGCTGTAGATCACAATTAATCCAAAATTAGTATAAAAGATCAACAGCAACCCCTTTTGCATGCCAGCTTGGCTTATCCCTAAAACTCACGACTTATTCTGAGGGCAATCTATGAACAAAGTTACTCTCTGCCTCCTAATAGGTCTAAGGCTTTTAGAACAAAATATGCATTTGAAATGTTTGAAATGTGTGCCGTTTTCCTTGAGAAAATAAACGCAGAAGTCAGCATTGGTTTTTTATTTTTATTTTTTTAAAAAAGCACTATTATTCTACTTTTTCTATTCTACTATTATTCTAGCAAAGTATATGATGAAACACATGATCTTTAGATACATAAAATGTCTTTAAACAGTTGTAAATCCATGTGAATTTTATTTTCGTATACTAAATATAACTATTAGAAAGACTCTACACAATTTATATTTGTCAACTTACAAGTGTATGTGTAGTTTTGTTTCTTGTATTAACTAAAAGTAATTTTAAGAGTTTATTCCTCTCCCATGGAAATATTATATCCTGGAAATATTATATCCTCTCCCATGGAAATATTTCATTAAATAAGTGGAAAACAAATACTTTTTTCAAAAAGTCTATCAAAATAGGATTAAATGCTACTTGTCTATCTAATTACAAATGTATGGTTTTTTTTCATTTCTCTTGGCATTCTTTCATTTCATTTCATAAACTATGTTTTTTCTAATTGGATGAAAATTTAAATCATTTTTACAGAAGAGCAAATAAATTATTAACATGTAAAAGAAAAATACAATATTTAACCAAAAACACAACTTGCAAATTGCTCATATATTACTAGTTTCATTAGGGATATATAAAATATTTATATCAAAATTGTATTATATTATTTATATAGGTTTTTATTTTTTAGGAAATTTCTTATAAAATCCCCTGAGAAAGGGCCTCTTTTCTGGATGTCTGATGGTGAGCCATAACGCAGAAAGAATTATCTTAGAGGTATGTTGTTATAAATGAGAGCAAGCTTCACGTGCAATTATTGAGCACCTACTACAAACCAGGCAAAGTACATTCTGTTATCTTATCCAAATCTTACAGCATATCTCTGGGTAGATATTAATTAGACTTTGCTCTAAATGTTAAAAAAAATACTTTGAATTCAAAGCAGCTAAAAACAAACAAACAAACAAAAACCTGCATAAGGACTTTAAGCTTCCAAGTGAAACAATTCAAACATTAACCAAGTCTTTTGATTCCAAATTCAGTTATCTTTCCATTAGCATATTGTTCCCAAATCCAGGCTTATTGTCAAAATATGTAAAATCTATTCTATAACCAAAATAATGAATATTTTCAATAAAATAATAATAAAACAACATCTCTTGAGACTCAAATAGTTAATAAACTTGAAATAACCAAAACTATGCTATAACACTAAAATTCAGTCTTAAATATTGGGGTTTAAAGAGATTAAGGAGTTTTTTTGTTAGTTTTTTCCGCTGTTTAGAATTTCAGGTGACCTCCAAATGTTACAAACGTTGAAAGAATTTTGTTCTTTATTATTCTAAATTTATGGCTCTTCAAATTGTATGTTAAACTGTAAAATAAGATAAAAGAAAGCTTTCAGAGACAATGATGTTGGAAGAACTTATTAGCAATTTAAGGAGAAATGTTAGGTCATCCAAAAATGTTAGATCATCTTTAATACAACAAAGTGAAAGAAACTACATGGATTGAAAATTTAAAGTGTTTTCTAAAGCATATAGTAAAACTAGAAATAATATTTATTAAGTATGTTAATGAATTAAATGTTTCTGTACATTAAATCAAAATAAGAGTCCAAAGGAAAAGTGGATCAGCTATGAATATTTGAAATGTGAAAGTTTTCTGTGTGGTTCCCATTCCCTCACTTAAAATAATAAAAGATGTCCATTCAGGGGCCAAGTTTCATCAAGGTCCTGTTTTATCAAGGACATTCTTAAGTGAAACTGGCATTGTTTATTCTTTAACTGCTAGAAACCAGTGTTGAACTAGCGAACTGGCTTCTCACAGTGCGATGCCCCTGCCTTGATTCATGCTAGGGTGCCCGTCATCTCACCCACCACTGCTTTTGCAACTGTCAACATAGTGAAAAAAGAAAATAACATCTTAATATTATTATGAAAGTGTTTTTGACCTCACTGACCCTCTTAAAGGGTCTTAAGGCCAAACATAAGATGATAAGGAATCGTCTCAAAGAAAAGCCAATGGGAGATTATTCAGTATGGAAGCTGAACTAGCCATATTTTTCATGAAACACCATGTTTCCTTAAAAAACAACCGGCAAGTCAAAGTTATTCAGACTAGAGCATTTGGCAGTCATTATCTTGGGGTGTGAGGGGAAAATGAACAAATTGACCCTATTACTTCAAGAAAAACAATCGTTAGCTTATGTTGCCAATGAGAAATCTATGTTTTTAAGTGGAAATTAGAATTTTTAAAAACTCAACAACGTAAGTTTGACAGCTTCTCAACATTTCTGATGAGATTGGTGTAACATCAATGAGTGTAATTTTTTTTCAATGTGTATAATTAAATGTGGCAACATTTAGAGGACCGCTGTTGGTTTTGAGGGAGCAAACAATCATGTTGTAGACACCACATGTATGGAGAAGGCCATATAGCAAGATAGTAAAGGTAGCCTCTAGCTGCTGAGAGTGGTCCCTGAACAACAGCCAGCAACAACAACAACAACAACAAAAATGGGACTTCAGTCAAACACCCTCAAGGAACTGAATTCTACCAACAACCAGGGTGCTTGGAAGAGAATCCAAAGCCCTAGATGAGAACACAGTCCTGGCCAAACTTTGATGTAGCCTGAAGACAGCCTAAATTCAGGCCCCGGCTGAGCCGTACTCAGACTCCTATAAGATGAGAAACTTTTTTAAAATGCTAAACTTGTGGTAATTTGTTGAACACTAGATAAGTAATGTATAGGGGCAGGGAGAGTCCCTGTGCCTCTTATCAACTTGTTATAAAAGTGGGCCTGGCACATAGTAAGCATTCAATAAATGGTTGTTGGGGAAAGCAGAAAAGCAGATAAAATACTTTGTTGTTGGATATGGTACATACATACTAGAAATACTGGATATGTAACTCTTTAATTCACAGATGTTTTTACGAACTTCTGTGTAATAAATTACATAAATCATGCATTTACTGCTCAGTAAAGTAATATATCATTCTTTGTATTTATATGGGAACTGGAAGGTTAGTCATTATCCTATGTAAAAAAAAAATAATTTTGCACAGATACTCAGTTCAGCATTGGTACAACACATATATGTTTTTATTATTTTATTAAAACATAACACAATGATGTAAAAAATATATTTTTGTAAACAGCAGCAATTTATACTGAGTAAAGAGAAGTGTTCTGCAATATTACATAAACAGGTAAAAGATTTAGGCCAGAACTCATAATAGGGCAAGAAACATTATAATGACCATTTACTATGACAGGAAATCAAACAACTCCAACATGCTCATTGTTCTCTGAAAAATATGGCAGGAAAGAAAGAACAAAAGAATGAAGGAAAAAAGGAAGGAAACAAGGAAGGAAGGGAGGGAAGGAAGAGAGAGAAAACGAAGGAAAGAAAAGAGAAAAGAAAAAAAGATGCAAAGAAAAGAGATGCTTCCCAACAATGTTCAAGTCTACTACTAGCCAGTGAAAAAGACAGCTGAAAAGCATCTCGCAGGCCAGTTGTCACATGCCACTGTGTTGCTGCTTTTGCCTCTTTGCATAAGGGGTTTAAGATGTCACACTCTAAAGACAATTGACTTCCAAGTGCAACTTCTGGCTAATTTGATTTTTAGGGAAGACTTGGGGGTGGGGCAGTTGAAGGTATATTTTCTGTTCTTACCTTAGATAGATTATTATACTGTAATATATTATCTCCTGAGTTTCTTAACTTTCACATGAGAATCAAATAATCAAGAGAAAATTACATTGGTTCCCCAAAAAGTATCTTCATTGTAATAATTATTATAAAATATTTATCATTATAGCTAGTTTCTGGAAAGAATTCCCATCAGTTTGAATTAAATTATATGTGCCTCTATGGTAAATTAATGTACTTGATGATACCAAATTAAAAAAAAAAATTCAAGATCCTAGACTCACAGTGGCAAAAGTTCCTTAACTACCTCCTGTTACAAGAAAAATTAAACAAATTAAATACTATTACTCCCATTATTGCTACATTGGCTTTTAAAAAATGTCTTATTAAATTACAATGTAAGGATACCAGCAGGCCACAGTATTGCTGGCATATTAGAGAATGAAAATTAAATTAAATTCAGGTTTATGGTTTTTTAAGTATAATTTCTGCAGAATTCTATACTTACATAGCACTAATTAAGTACCAGACAATATCTAATATTAACTGATTAATCCTTATATAAAAGCTACTATTATCTCCATTTTACAAATAAGGTAACTGAGGCACGAAGACATTGAGTAAATTGCCCAAACTCATAATAATAGCAAGTAGAAGAGCTGGAATTCCTCTTCTACTTGCAAGTGGAAGAGTGAGAAGATGATGTGAAAACAAAGATGTGTGTTGAAGGATTATAAGGAATGAGTCATGACTCAAGACAAATCAAGACCATTTCCTTCTTCCAAGGGTTAACCCCCTAGTACTATCACCTCAGGTGCCTTTATACTCCCACATACATCATAGGAGCAATTCCAAAATCTCTGTCACAAGGAATGAATTTATTAAGTAATCTTCGGTATCCTCTGTGACTTGGAAAATCTTGAACTTCTAGAAAAGCAAAATTCTGAGTAGTGTATATCTAGTTAATTTTCTACTCTATCAATTTCCCCAAAGCAAAATTCCATATATCATGTTGCCTATAGATAATGTGTGTGGTAATAAAAAAAACCTATAGTTTTGCAAATATTGTAATAATCCTAAACCATCTCTTTGCTCTTGAAGCTCCTGTTTTCAGAAAGCAAAAATGTATCTAATGTACTGTAAATCAAATGGCATGTCCCAATCTTAAAACTGCCTCTCTACTGCCTGTCATCCCATACCTTCCGTTTCAAAATGACCCTTCCACTCAGAGTTTGGATTCTTTGCCACACCAACTAGGCAAAACTATTTACTAACCACTACCCATTTTATTTTAACTCAATGGACTTTTATAAACTGTTTCTAAGTAATATTCATATTTGAACATATGCCAACTTTTAAAATCAAGTCTTTCTAAAATAATGTTTATGTCTCCTATAAACCCTGTTCTGAAAGCCTACACATTTTTACCATTTCTTCCTCCAAGACTTTTAGCACATAGGCAAAAATCTTTATTAGAGTTATAATTGTTCGATTATGATTAAGAAACCTGAGCTGTATAGAGAGGCAGCTTGAATTCAGATCCTGACCCTGTCACCTACTAGCTCTATGAATTTAGTCAAGCTGCTTAGCTACCCCTGTGTCTGAATGTCTTGCCCTGTAAAACAGGGATAATAAATAACACTACCAACCTCATAGGGCTGTTATGAGGATTAACTGAGATAATGTACATAAAGCACTTAGAACAATGACTGCACATAGTAAACACTGATTAGAGATGATATTCCATAGTAGCATAGCAGTAGCTGTAATTGTCATTTACAGAGAGAACTTTGGAATGAGGAAACTCATGGCTCCTGGGCTCTGCACTTATTAGTTTTATTACCTTTGCCAAGTTACTTACTGTACCTGGTTTTATTATACTGAATCTGGTTTTATTATCTTTAAAATTGAGATAATAGTATCATAATAAGTTTATTGGAAAGATTAAATAAACTAATAGATATGCAATGCTAACTAATACCTGACATATGATAAATCTTCTACAAATAATACTTTTTATTATTATTGACTATTCCAGAGTAAAGATTAAGGGAACTCAATTTAATGAAAAATAACTCATTTCCACAATTTTTTTTTCTTTTGGAGACTGAGTCTTGCCTTGTTGCCCAGGCTGGAGTGCAGTGGCACGATCTCAGCTCACTGCAACCTCCGCCTCCCAGGTTCAAGTGATTCTCCTGTCTCAGCCTCCTCAGTAGCTGGGATTACAGGCATGTGCCACCACGCCCAGCTAATTTTTCATATTTTCAGTAGAGATGGGGTTTCACCATGTTGGCCAGGCTGGTCTTGAATTCCTGACCTCAGGTGATCCATCTGCCTCAGCCTCCCAAAGTGCTGGGATTACAAGCATGAGCCACCACGCCTGGCCACAAATTTGTAATATATTGTGTGATGTTCTGCTTGTTGAGAATGTGGTCTAGTTCCAATACTTGTGACATGTCCTATTATCTGCTCACTTCTAAACTCTTTGTACCTCCTAGTTCATTTTCCTGGGAGGTGTTCTTCTCTCCACATCCTATCTCCTAGCCATTTAGCCCATTCACCCACATAACTCCTACTCATTTTTCAGATAATAGCCTAAAAGTCCTTTCTTTTTGTGACTTAGATGCTTGGAAGAAGTCTTAAAGCTCCAGAAAGGAGCACAGCCTGCCTGAGATCTTGTTGCCACCTTGATCATGCCCCGGTTTAGGTTAGGCACCCCTACCATATGGTCTACTCCCCAGAGCACCTGCACTGCCATTTCCCAGTCATACCACTTGTCATTACTTTCCAATCCATGTTTACTCTGCTAAGCTAACTTCAAGAGAGATAGAGATCAAATCTGAATTGTTCACTGCTATAACCCCAGATATAAGGACAATGCATTCATACTTATAAAGTGAATAAATAAGTGAATCATATGGGCTATGATAAATACTACTTGAAGAGGTAACAACAAAGGGCCAGGGAGATTTGAAGGAAGGAAAGAGTCTATCCACATGGGGCAGTCATAGGAGGAAACGTCACAGACGAGAAATGCATTTAAGAAGAAATTGAATGTTAAATGCGACTTTGGTAGGAGGATATTGAAGGAGGCAATCTAGGTAGTGGGAATAGCACATTTGGAATCTCAGACAGAGTTCTCAATAAACGTCATGCCCCTTCCCCACCCAAGTTCAAAACAAGTTGAGAAATAAAACAAAGAATAAACATAGAAGCCAAAACAAGAACTTCATTGCTCTATTAATAGATGCCATGTTGAAGAGCCAAATGTGTCTGCTAATGGAATCCCAGAGTTAGACAGACTCCCCCAGCCAAGAGCAGCAGCCCCAAGCTGTGCCCTAGCCAAACAAGGTGCCAATCCCAGCAGTGAGGTTCCAACTTAATGGCAGAGATAGGACATGCTCAGTCACTATTCCCAAATTCATCCTTCATAAGTCACTCCATCCTCCCAGAGGTGGAGAAGTGTGACACAGGAGACCAGTAGTGTGCTGAGGAAGAAGCTTTCTCTCATGGAAACCAAGAGTGGGGGGAAGGCATTTTTCCCTAAGAAAAATAATCAAAAAGCATATTGGGAACCAGCGTTAAGTGCAAATTGTTGGGGTTCAGGACATGTGAAAGGACACAGTAGGGAAAGAGGCTGAAATGATAGGCCTTAGGGGGTACCCAAATTGGTACAAAGAAACATTTTTAGGTAATTTATTAGGCAAGATGTAGCCATTAAGAATTGTGCAAGAAGAGTAAATGCAAAACCCAAGCTTCTCACAGTGATAGCATTTGCATATTACACAGTGAAAGCATGGAGTCTCAAGCTAGACTGCCTGGGTTTCTAACCCATGCAGGGCAGTAGGAAAAGTACTAGCCTTGAGTTAGGCAAATCTGCATTCAATTCTCTGTTCTGCCACTTATTAGTTTTGAAATCTTGCATAAACTACTTAACTATTCTGAGACTCAGTTTTATCATCATTATACCATGTTGCTAGGTGGAGAGTAACTGAGATAATGTATGTAAAGCACCTAGCAGTTAATAGACATTCAGTTAATCATTATTTTTATTGTTATTATATAAACTTATAGAATATATATCTCCTGAAAGAATGCATTAAATCTTCTTAATCCTGTGAATAACTGTTTTAGGTCATAGAATAGCAAGCACCACACCATAGAAATGACATAATGAAAACCAATTTGAGATTACAAGAGAAAGATGAGTCAAAGTGCCTGGTCTTCCAACAGACTGCTGCTTGTACAGTAATGTTAACAGCTTCACTATCTTGTATATATTACCTGTTTTATCTAGTTACATTTTAGGTTATTTTCAAACAGTTTTCTAAATGTAATACAAGTTGTAACTCTAAGAACTGAGAGCTGCACTCCATTTATGTCTTAAAGAGACCAAATAATTCCACATATCTTGCCCCTATATATCATTATTTACTAAACACAGTATTTTTTCTCTTTTAAAAAAATATGAAGATAACCTAAACTTTTTAGCAGATGTTATTAAATGACACACTAGGATACTTTACATTGAGTTCAAATCATTTTATAATTTGTTATTAAAACAAGGAGACATTGTGCAAAGGAAGAATGTTAGCAAATAGATTCCCCTTTAGACAAAGCTGAAAAACATCTTTTTAGTTGCAGTGAGCAGCACCACAGAATCTGCTATAATCATATACAGATGATGGGAATTTGTCTAATGTTTTATGGTGAATCATTGATGAGGCCAGCAGAACGAAAATTTGTAGAAATAAAATCACCTTGACAGTAGAGTACCAGGGTCAAAAAGCAAAGTAAAGTCAATGTTCTTAGCTTTAATAAAAACAGTATGATCTGTCATCAACACAGCATTTTTACACTCTTGGACAATGCACTCTACAATCTCCTGCTGGGTTTCATTTGATTGTTCCTAAAACCAACAAAGGACAACTTATAGCTGATGATTCATTGTGACAGGAGAAAGCCATAAAGATACGCATGTTTAGACCATTGTAAATAAACAGTCTCCAGTGTGATCTTTCAATACAAAAGACGTTACCCAGGCTGTAAGTGAGCAACTACTGGGTTTTTCTAAATGATGAATCTTCATCTAAAGATTAAGAAAAAGCGATTATTTTGCAAGTCATCGCCACACATCTCAGGCTAACCTCCAACTGGATTGAATGTAGTCTTTAGGTAAGAAATAAAAATGCAAGCTTCCTGATGAAATGGAATAGTGCCATGTAATCTCTATAACGATACCACCAGATAGCAAAGCCAAACAAACAGAATAATTAATAATTTAACACAAAGATTAAAAGAGACTGTCACTAGGGTTCTACCCTAGGAAATGGTGCAAACTCTGTAACAAAGGCTCACATTCTTCATCTCTAGACAGTTTTCTTTCCTAGTCGAAGGGATAAGATGCAAAATCAGAAAGAATAGATTTCTAAAAATAGTTTTTAAGTGAACATTACTCTTGTTATAATTTTTTTGAAAGTTCCAATTGAGCCAAATTAATAAAAACTGGTATCCATATTATTTAATGATAACTGTAACCTAATCATATCAATTTTGTGTCATCATATTTATCCTCTTATTTTAAAAGTTATGTACTAAAGTTCTAAATATTTTGCCTGATTTATTTCATCATATGTACAGTTTTTAAAATGATACTTAACCAAAATCCAGGATGTTATGTAATTTAAAATGAATGACCACAAAATTTATTTATTTGAGAAATAATATTAATAAAACATCCCATCTGTAATAACTGTGTTTTTCGGTATGCATGCAAAACTAAAACAAAATACATTACCATCCATTTCAAAAACTAAATCATTTCAGTTTCATTCTGAAGTTTACATTTTTAAACCTGCAGTCTTGAGTAAAATAATGAAAATGAAAAACTTGATTTAAGAAAAAGTTAATAGTTTGGAACGGTTTTGTTTTTGTACCCATATCTAAATTATTTCCATGACTCTTTCATTCCATTATTTCTCATTAGCAATGAAAAGTAGAAGCATTATTTCTGCAACTATGTTTGTTTTAGAAATATTTGACAATAATGTGCTAAAACAAAACCTTATCCTAATGTCAATGGCATTAATAAAAGACCAATGGCTTTTAAAAATGAGATGCTGGACTACACTTCCCTATAATACGAATAATGCTTTTACCCCCTGAGAAAGTGACTTTTTCCTGG
Source organism: Homo sapiens (assembly GCF_000001405.40). NCBI lineage: Eukaryota > Metazoa > Chordata > Mammalia > Primates > Hominidae > Homo > Homo sapiens. The sequence goes on along the minus strand of NC_000004.12, from coordinate 110,903,585 downwards.
TCGAGTTTCCAGAGCATCAGTTTGAGTAATGTAGCACAAATCCCCTCCCCCTCATTTGTAAAAAGATCTTAATATTCTACTTTATCTTCATTCTACCTTTGAGATTATTAAAAGATATAATTATATTGTCTTAAGATTTTTTTTCTTTTAAGGTTTCACTTTTCAGAAAGAAGGAATGATGAAATAATAAAATAGACAATTTCAAAAGCAAACTGATGTTACTTCATCTGGTTAATGTGAAAGGATTTTTTCCCCTAGCACATCAGAAAGTAATTTACTTAAAGGAGAGATAGTTATGATAAAACTCAATTTAAACAATGTGGTTTAAGATTTGATAAGATTTAGAAGACCTTGTTATTTAGATTAAACTCTGAATTTCCAGTTAAGTTAACCTTTCATATTATCACAATATCTTACAAGAGCTGTAGGACAATGTTGTTTTAGGGCAGTCACTACAATTTTTTGAAACACTAGTTTTTAAATGTTAAAATGCCTAAATGTTAAAAACAAAAACCAGAAGCTGCTGAGTACTGTGACTTTTCTGTTTTTGACACCTCTTTCGTATTTCAAATCATCTCTCACAGTCTCTCAGATTCTTGGTCTCTTCACCTGGCACTCCTACTGCTTCCATCATTATTTGGTGGACTATGCCTGAAATCTTTAGATTACCACACAAAAGCCTCACTGTTGACCTTCCCGCTTATAATTCCTTCCTCTTCCAGGCTAACCACATCCCAACCAGATCGAGTCTTCCTAAAATACCACTTCCCTCATGCCCCATACTCACTTTAGGAGCCATTAATTGACTTTTCATTTATGCTCAGAAAAAATGCAAGTCTGTGCTTGCATATCCCGACATCATGTAGGCATGCAAGTAATGCCATTTGGCTACATGCCTGTCTCTATCAGTCTAATGCTCCTACTTCTCACCACTCTGGCCAACTTCTCACATAGTTTAATAGGAGACAGATTTATTCCTTCCCTGTGTCTTTGGCCATGCTCTTTCTCCTGTTGAAATATTTCCCACTCCTTTCTTCCTAACTCATTCTTTAAGGTCCACCTTTTTCTGAAAGCTCCAGCCAACATAATTACACGAATCCCTATGAATGCCTTCCACAATTAAAAACAATAATAATTATAGGCCCTATCACCATTTATTAAAATCTCTTTATGCAAAAGACACTACACTAAGCATTTATACATTAAATTATATTTATATATTATGTAATTCTCATTAAAATTCTATGACGTATGAGTAATTTGACATTCAAGAGTTTAACTAACTTTCCCCTTGTCATTGGATCAGAGGCAACAGAGCTGGGATTTGCAACCACAAGTGTCAGACTCTAAAACCATCTTTCTTTAAAAATACAAATATTGTGTTCAGCTATTTCTTTTATATGTAACACAAAGCTATAAGTTCCCTGAGGGTAAAGATTTTTAAGATCTTCAGCAAAAACCCTACTGATTGCTAAAAACTATGGGTAGTGTTATTCAAATATTTTAAACAACGTATTTGAATCTCCTTTGTTGCTTCATCCTTTTTTTATATTATCTACTTATATCTATTGTTAGCAGTTAACTGGACTACAATCAAATACATAAAGGAGCCAAAATTCTAAATAAAATTAATTACTATGACTTTGGCCTAGAAGAGTATAAAATAAGAAGAGAACAAGTAAACATTAAAGAGTTGGAACACAAAAAAATATAACCCACTTCTTTGTAGTTATTAGAATTATACTGAGCAAACAGAAAAGTGAATGGATTTATATAGGTTTATGAAAAAGGTTTCACTAAAGAGGAAAGTTTGAGCAGGGCATAGATATGTGCATTTAAGTATTATGGAGGTTTTTAAAAAGTTTATGTTTAGTTAAATACAGCATCATATTTAAATGTGTTGCCAGATCAATGTATTGCAACATTAAGGTGTATTGCCAGATCAATAGGGATACAGATAATGACATACATGACCATTCAGGTCATATTTAATCATCATGTGTGTGGTGTGCACCAGGCCCAGTGCTTGGTGCCAGGGGAACAATGAGGACAGAGACAGCCCCAGAATGTACTTTCATACAATCAACTATTCAGGCTCCACAATCAACTGAAGCCCACCTTCTGTACGCTTTCTTTAGTAACACCAGTTGGAAGTGATTTCTTCTCTCTCTGAAGTCTTCTAAAGTTGTCTTAAATCTTACATCATTTAGCACTGGGTTTAAAAGCACAGGCTTTGGAACAAGATTACCAGGTTTGATTCAGGTTGTTGCACTTTCTAGCTCTGCGACTTTGGGCAGTTTACCTAATCTCTCTGCAACCCAGAAACACAATAATATTACCTACTTCATATGGTTTTGTGAGGATTAAATAATTTCATACATACGAAATATTCAGAACATTCCAGGCACTTGGTAAGAGCTTCATAACTATTAGCTCTTATCAATAGTACCACTTCCCACCACCACCACCATCATCACCATTTGGCAACCGTCTTATATATGTTTGGACGTTAGTTATTTTTACATGTGTTTAGGAAAATACGTGGTCATTTTTCCCTCTTCATTCAGAAACTGACACTGTATCTTTTGCAATTATATTGTTCATTTATAGCCATTGTATACAGACACTTTATCCTATAATTAAATGCAGGAAAAATTATGCCTCTCTTTTTCTCCTGTTGCTTAGAAGACAGTAGAAGGATCTCTTTTTATCTACCAGGAAAACTCTGATTTAATTCTCAAGAGACTATTTCTTTCCTATCAAAATCATAGTATGGTGCCCATTAACTCTGCAGGCAGTTTTGCCAATAAACTCTAAAAGATCATACTGAAAGATGGACTCAATTTTGAGAAACAGGCAAAAAGGCAAAGAGCTTGATAAATACAATGCTACCAGTAAAAACTCAAAGAATATTCTCTACAAACATTAAGGCAAGATGTGAGAGAAAGGATCTTAGATAAATCATTTCAAATATAGAGTGAATTGCTTTGCTTTCAATCCCCTTGAAAGGAAAAACGATTATGCTTTTTAGCTGTCAGAACAAAACTCTAGGGTAATTCATAAGGCATTATATTAACACATATAAAACAAAATGAAAAACAGCTTCACAGTATGACCTTACACTTGAACAAAATCTGGAGCAAGTGTATTGTAGGCCAGATTAATACCCAGTTTACCAGGCAAATAAATTCCACAGTGAGTCACCCTCCAGCTTCTTTATTCTGACTATGAGGGAATCAAAGGTCTAGTTTTAAATAGAACATAGATATTTTAAAACAAAATAGAAGCAACTACTCAAAACAGAGTAACAACTTTCTCTTTATTAAGTTTAGTGGGGTTTTTTTTAAGGCTTTAGAAAGTACATAAGAAAGATTCACAAACTACAGAAGAGGTTGAAATTGCACTTAATAGGAAGGATATAAAATAGCATAGTGCCGTTTATGTTACCTGTGTGTATTTTAAGTACAGTATATTGAACAATATCATACACAAAACGGAAGTGTATTTACTGCAGAGGAGACAGTCGGCTGAGTCTCCTCAAAAGCAGATATTTCAAAGTTTACTTTCACATGGGTTTTCACTTTTTGACCTGCTCTTGACCTGGGTAATTCTTGCAGACCAGTGAGTTTAACAAGGCCTGGGATCTATTAAAAGAATGGTAGCCTGCCTTTTACTGAGTAGCACACTGATGGTTTAAAGTAAATGTTATGGTTTGTCACAGGAACCAATTTGGTTACCGTTTGTTCTTCCTGCCTCTGCCTGCCGATATTTTTGCAAGTGTTTTCCATTCTTTAAATTCTATAAAGAAATCTGCATGCTGTTATTTTAAACTTCAGCATCTCTTTTTTTAGCAATTCATATTTTAAAAGTGGGCAGTGCACTCAGAGTTTCCTTTGTGTCCTCCTTGGTAGAACTTGAACTCATGGTGCTTTAGCATGAAGCATGGTTATCTTTTGAGCACTACAGAGTTATTGTCCTCTCAGATTTGATGACTAGATTTTGAAATACTGTTAATACAGGCATTGGCCTGTGTTTGAAAGAAAAAGCAGTAAGAGATAGGCATTCATTACAAAGTAAAAAAAAAATAACGTTTCAATGTTTCCATTTATATATCATATCGTTAATGGACTACATGGGGGTAGGAGGGTGCTTCGTAAGTTTTTTGCTAGATCGCCCTTACAGGCTAATTAAACATAAAACTAATGTTTTACTACTTTTTTTCTGATATTAATGAACTTAGGTTCAATTTGAGAAATAGAATTAATAAAATACCAAGCTTGGAGTAAAAAGGAAATATAAGCAAACAATTAGATTGTTCATATTTGCCAAAGAACATAAGCTGGTTTTGACATGAATGTAGAGGGAGATTAAACCAAGCATTGGAGTGAGTGTTTCTTCCACTGTATAGCATTGGAGACAAAAATTCTATGTATTGTGCAAATCCTCTGACTTATGTCTCTTTGACACTTTTTCATTTTCCTCAAAGCAAAGAAACACCAGCCCTATATACCAGTGCTTCCAAGTATTATTACCAGTAAGAATTACTAATACTTCTAAACATTAACAATGCGTCTGAGAAGTATAAATCTCCAAGTTTATCATTACAAAATAGTCTCAGTGTTGTGATGACTACGTTAAGAAAAAAAAAAGGTGAGAGGAAGGGAAGAAGAGAATTGAGTACTGGTCATATGTTACACTATTAATATCCATTAAACATCAAAATTACCAACACATACATACATACATTTAATAATCACCATTTATTTTGTTCAAAGTAAAATATCTTATTCAAATAGTATTGAGGTTGCAAAAGTGTTTGCACCTCTACTAGATATCTAAATAATACCTAGTACTTAGTGATTGTAAGTGCTTTATATGTATTATTTCACTTACTCCTCATATCACCACTTTATGGATTTTATAATTTTTAATTTCAGAAGACTACCCTAAGGGTCAGAGAAATTAAATTTAAAAACTTAAGCAAGCTCACAGGGCTAGGTAAGTGGTCAACCAGGATTCCAGCTGCTGTCTGTGTGACTACGAGGCCTGATGCACTTTCCCCCACACTCTACCATCTATGAAAGCAGCAATGAATGATACAGAAGAGTGAAACAGAAAGTACAGTTTAGAAATGCAAACAAAAACTAAAGCAGACACACCTTTTTCACACTTTGTGTAAATTATGCTGATCAGAGGTAATGGAAAAGATGTTTTTACTAAGAACATTTCTTACTGTTTTATAGAGTACAAATTTAAAATCCAAAGGGTATAATTTAATTAGCACTAATTAACTAGAAATGTGAACTGTTTTCTTTGTAGGATAAAGAAAAGCATGATATTTGGGGAAGATGTCTACAATGGGCTAGGTTCCAGGCTACCTTTTCTGATCGTGCGAAAAGGAATGACAGGGTTCCTGCATGGAAAATAATGTCACATAAAAATAAATGTAAAATGATGTGAGGGGTGATTTAAGGGAGATTCGAAGAAAAAAAAAACAAAGTAAGAAACATTCAACTTTCCTTAAAAAGTCAGGGAAGTCTATAAGGAGGAAGAGAGGCATCAAGGGGCGGTCGTGATGGATGAGTGAGTCTGGCAAGAGACAAAAAGAGATCAAGGGGCTGGCGGAGGAATTAGCACATGTAAAGAAAGGGAAGCAGGATATAGCAAGATACACCAGACTCTAGTGTGAGTCTCAAAAATCTTTGCACATCAGAAACACCGGGGAAGTTTTTAAAAATTCTGATGCCCAAGTTTTAACCAGATAAAATAATTAGAATCTCTGAGGGTGGGAAAGCAGAAGAGAGAAATCTGTAGAGATGCTGAGGTACCTTTGGAGACAAGAGTAGAGCTAAAGTTTGACTTGAAGAAGTGAACCAGGTGTCTCAAACATAGAAAGGAAACAAAATATTAACATGGCCAGATACTATAATTAGAAAAATTCATGAAGCATTTCATATTTTTAAATGTAGATATACAGCATATGTAATATTTGTATGTTTATTTTGCAATTAAAAAAGAAAAAACTAAATTGCCTTTTTTATTAGCTGCCACTCACAAATGTGATTCAGTATCACCTTTTTCTCCCTTACTTTATTAAATTTTCACCATGCCAATTTCTCCCTGTAGGAGCAAATGCAATTTGTATAAAAACCATTAAAACAATTATGTCTCAAGACATCCTCCCAAAGAATTTCCTGGACAATTGTACGGTTGTATCCAAAAATCCATCAATGACCATGGAAAGCAGACTGACTTTACTTTTGTAACAATGTCATGAGTATATGCTAACTAGATCCAAAGTATCTACATAAGTCTAAACTCAGGGCCAGGTTTACCTGAATTAAGTTATGATAAACTATATCTGCTAGAAAGAAACAATTGAAATGATTCTAAGCATTTTATCTTATGCATTACAAGACATTGTAATCAGAGAACTAAGAAATGCAAAAAAAAAAAGTTCAGAAAGAAGACTGAATGCTAATAATTCTATGCTTCTAGCAGCCCTGAAATGACAAGATAAATAGTTCTTTTTTTTTTTTTTTTTTTGAGACAGGGTCTTGCTCTGTTGTTCAGGCTGGAGTGCAGTGGTGCAGTCGTGGCTCACTGCAGCCTTGACCTCCTGAGCTCAAGTAAGCCTTCCACCTCAGCCTCCCAAGTAGCTAGAATTACAGACGTGTACCACCAGGCCCAGCTAATTTTTTTTTTTCTAGTAGAGGAAAGGTCTCGCTATGTCTCCCAAGCTGGTCTCAAACTCCTGAGCTCATGCTATCTTCCTACCTCAGCCTCCCAAAGTGCTGGGATTAAGGTGTGAGCCACTGTGCCCAGCTGACGAGATAAATAATTCTTTTCTTTTCTTTTTTTTGATACGGTGTCTGGCTCTGTCACCCAGGCTGGAGTGCAGTGGTGCAATCTCGGCTCACTGCAAGCTCCACCTCCCAGGTTCTCCTGCCTCAGCCTCCCGAGTAGCTGGGACTGCAGGCGCCCGCCACCGCACCCGGCTAATTTTTTTTTTTTTTTTGTATTTTTAGTAGAGATGGGGTTTCACCCTGTTAGCCAGGATGGTCTAGATCTCCTGACCTCATGATCCGCCCGCCTTGGCCTCCCAAAGTGCTGGGATTACAGGTGTGAGCCACTGCGCCCGGCTGATAAATAATTCTTTAATAAATTCTGAGTAGAAAGATAAAACATCTATAGTAAATAGGGGTGCCAATGATGAATTATTCATTCTCTGCAGATATTGTCAGAGTGATAAAGTTAAAATATATAAGAAAAAGCAGCACATGGAGCATATTTATTTTTCAACCTGAAAAAAAATTGTGCCTACTATTTAAAGACCAAGCAGAATAAAAAGTACAAAATGAAATTCTGCTATTCTCTATGCACCGCCAAATTGGATTTTGCAAAATTATTATTTTAAAAAGGGGAGGAGGTGGGGGAAAACAACTGTTACGGTCTGAATGTTGATATCCCCCCAAAATGCATATGTTGAAATCTTAACCCCAAATTTGATGGCATTTGGAGGTACAGCCTTCAAGAGGTGAGTAGGCCATGAGCATGGAGCCCCAGTGAATGTGATTGGTGCCTTTATAAGAATAAACATGAGAGATTATTTATCTCTCTCAGGCATGTGACAATGCAATGAGAAGTTGGCAGTCTGCAGCTCAGAAGAGGGTCCTCACCAGAACCTGACCATGCTGGCACCTTGATTCCCAGCCTCTAGAACTTCAAGCTGGGCAACTACCATCTCCAGAAGTGTAAGAATCAAATTTCTGTTGTGTATAAGCCATGCAGTCTATGATACTTCATGATAGTAGCCAGAACTGACTATAATACAGGGTCATATACATATTTTATGCTTCAAAGTAATCATCTGTAAAATAAAAAGTTTGAAAGCAAGGATCACTAAGATCTGTTTAAAGGAGAAAAATTCTGAATCTATATAGAACAAAAACATCTTATCAAAGTGTTTCAGAGAAAGCTGTGCTTCAGCACGAATGCTATGGAAAAACTTACATAACCAAATGACCCGAATTCAAATAGATCAGAGTACGAACTTTTCAATGTCCCCATATGGCATCATGTCATATCTTTAATCAAACAGAAACAAAATCACAAATTCTACCTGGTACCCATTAGAATCACTAGAAGAGGCCAACATGCCCATAAACCCTTGTTTTTACTCTCTCCTCCCCAAACCACACATGTGTATACCCATGCATGGGTGTGGGGATGCGCGCACACACATTCACAATCTTGCCTTCTCTCTTGTTCAACAAGTAAAAAGAAGATATGTCTATGGGTCTCATTTTCTGACATTTGATAGAAAAACACAAGTATCTAATCTTGTCCACTGACCTAATCTAGAAGATTAGAAGATTCCAAGGGATGAATTCTAAGAATCACTCATACTTCCTCAACTACTGCATTTAATGACTTCTTGAGAATACAAGAATTCTGCCAAACAATTTTCTCTAATCTGCTCCAGTCTTCACTGTCATTCTTATAAATAGCTGTGGACCACAAAATTTGTTTCTCCGTTAGCTCAGATTAATATTGTGTGTATGTGTTTCACAATGCTATTGAAAGTTAGAATGCCTTCTGTCATATATATTTATTTATATGTATATATAATACTTTTGTTATATACTTACTAAGTTCAAGGAGAAATGATTAGACTCACAATGTACCTGTGTAAATAAGCTGTGCTATGAATGACAGAGAGAACTGCTGATATTTTAACACAGGGAGTTAAATTCTAATTAGAATTAAATAGAGCACATTGCTTCATTCGATCACAATATTCCCAACTATAAATCTGGATGAAAGGTGTTATTTTTATGTACTGATTATTTTGGAAATTGTCTAGTTGAGTTATAATCATCATATTTTTAAAATGTTATTTTTACTATTATCCCTGAAACGCTTTGAAGTAGGTTCATATTATAAACCCATTTTTCTGGTGAGAGAATTGATGTACAAAGACGTTGGATAACTTACCAATGATCACACATCTGAGAACTAAATTAAATTACTGAAAATAACTTTAAAAGAATGAAAGGTTATATAAACATAATAGCATTAACAGATTATAAAGAACAAAAGATAAGAGAAAAAACAGAATATTACCTCATCTACTCCAATGTTTTTATTTTTAAAAAAAGCTTGAAAAACTTTTGAAAGAAGAATTGTATAATGCTGAAGTTTTCAGTAAGAACAAACTGTGTATGTAAATACAGATTAGGGTGCCTCTATAGATATATAGGAGAATAAAGAAAGTAAAAGTTTTATAAAACAGATTATTGTTTCAAGGGTTTGTTTAAATTCCTCCTGAACCACTTTGCCGTTAAGAGAAAAATAAAATTAAAGGTGTTTTCTAGGATTCATGCTGCCCTAATTAGGTAAGGATCAACCTTAAACGGCACTTTTTTATTTCCTGAGTGGGGAATGCACAGATTAGTGGCTTCTTGGAAACTGTTCCTACAGATGTTAAATTCACCAAATAATCCTAATTTGATTATTTGATTATTACTTTCTTTGGCTATTCTGACTTCTATATAATTATTGTCCTGGAGATTTCAGTCTCTGCAAGATACTCACTCAGCATCATGAAACAGGCATCATTGATAAATAATAAACAGGGTACAGATATGAATATAGAGATAGATACAAATGTCTACAAATAAAAATTTACAAATAGAGGTTACAGAAAGAGTGAATAAAGTGGGGCTTGCTTAAATTGGTGTCCTATCCCTTCTCTTTGGCCCCTTCCCTTCTGCTAATACACATGCCCAAGTCTATCCTATATCACAGGAAAAAAAAAAGTAATTAACTTAAAATATGTTTTCCCAGCCAGGTGCAGTGGCTCACACCTGTAATCCCAACACTCTGGTAAACCAAGGCAGGAGGATTGCTTGAAGCCAAAAGTTTGAGACCAGCCTGTGTAGCTAAGTGAGATCCCCATCTCTACCAAAAAAAAAAAAAAAAAAAAAAAAAAAATTAGCCCATTAGCTGGGTGTGGTGGTATGTTCCTGTAGTCCCAGCTACTCAAGAAGCTGAGGCAGGAGGATTGCTTGAGCCCAAGTTGAGGCTGCAGTGAGCTATAACTGTGCCACTGCACTTCAGCCTGGGTGACAGCTAGACCTTGTATTTTTTTATCCAGCTACTTGGGAGGCTGAGGCGGGAGAATCACTTGAACCCAGGAGGCAGAAGTTGCAGTGAGCCAAGATTACACCACTGTACTCCAGCTTAGGCAACAGGGTGAGATGCCATCTCAAAATAATAATAATAATAATAATAATAATAATAATAATAATAATAATGAAAGTTTTATTTGTTTTAAGTTCTGGGATACATGTGCAGAACGTGCAGGTTTGTTACATAGGTATACATGTGCCATGGTGATTTGAGGCACCTATCAACCCATCATCTAGGTTTTAAGCATTTGTCCTAATGCTCTCCCTCCCCTTGCCTCCACCCCTCAACACGCCTGGTGTGTGATGTTCCCCTCCCTGTATCCATGTGCTCTCATTGTTCAACTCCCACTTATAAGTGAGAACATGCAATGTTTGGTTTTCTGTTCTTGTGTTAGTTTGCTGAGAATGATGGTTTCCAGCTTCATCCACGTCCCTGCAGAGGGCATTAACTCATTCTTTTTATGGCTGCATAGTATTCCATGGTGTATATGTCCACATTTTCTTTATCCAGTCTGTTATTAATGGACATTTGGGTTGGTTCCAAGTCTTTGCTATTGTAAAGAGTGCTGCAATAAACGTGTGCATGTCTCTTTATAGTATAATGATTTATAATCCGTGGGGTATGTACCCAGTAATGGGATTGCTGGGTCAAATGGTATTTCTGGTTCTAGATCCTTGAGGAATCGCCACACTGTCTTCCACAATGGTTGAACTAATTTACACTCCCACCAACAGTGTAAAACCATTCCTATTTCTCCACATGCTCTCCAGCATCTGTTGTTTCCTGACTTTTTAATGATCGCCATTCTAACTGGCGTGAGATGGTATCTCATGGTGGTTTTGATTTGCATTTCTCTAATGACCAGTGATGATGAGCTTTTTTTAATATGTTTGTTGGCCACATAAATATCTCATTTTGAGGAGTGTTTGTTCATATCCTTCACCCACTTTTTGATGGGGTTGTTTTTTTCTTGTAAATTTGTTTAAGTTCCTTCTAGATTCTGGATATTATACCATTGTCAGATGGATAGATTGCAAAAATTTTCTCCCGTTCTGTAGGTTGCCTGTTCACTCTGATGATAGTTTCTTTTGCTGTGCAGAAGCCCTTTCATTTAATAAGATCCCATTTGTCAATTTTGGCTTTTGTTGCAATTGTTTCTGGTGTTTTAGTCATAAAGTCTTTGCCCATGTCTATGTCCTGAATGGTATTGCCTAGGTTTTCTTCTAGGGTTTTATGGTTTTAGGTTTTGTATTTAAGTCTTTCATCCATCTTGAGTTAATTTTTGTATAAGGTTGAAGAAGGTGTCCAGTTTCTTTTTTCTGCATATCACTAGCCAGTTTTTCCAGCACCATTTATTAAATAGGGAATCCTTTCCCCATTGCTTCTTTTTGTCAGGTTTGTTGAAGATCAGATGGCTGTAGATGTGTGGTGTTATTTCTGAGGCCTCTGTTCTGTTTCATTGGTCTATATATATGTTTTGGTACCAGTACCATACTGTTTTGGCTACTGTAGCCTTGTAGTATAGTTTGAAGTCAGGTAGCATGATGCCTCCAGCTTTATTCTTTTTGCTTAGGATTGTCTTATCTATAGACCTGGTATTTTTTTAACCAATCCTTGTGGAGCAGGGCTAACTCATAGGCAGTGTGCCCAGAGTTGGCCCAGTCTTTATATATGTCTGCCTTTATATATGTCAACCTGATAATTCATATTTCTAAGAAGTTCCCAGTTGCTGATACTGCTAGTCTGGGATCCCTACTTTGAAAACACTGTCCTAAGGCTTAGTTCTATCTTTGTTTTTCTTTTGCAAACTCTTATTCAGAAACTCCATCTACTCTGATGATTTTAACTATTGCCTCTCATAGATAGCTCCTAAAGTGTTATGTCCAATCCTGAGCCCTCCACTAAACTTCATTCTCACATCTCTAATTTCCATTTCCATCTGGCTGTCTTCCATCACCTTGAACTTGATATGTACAGCCTAGCTTACAGAAACCAGTTTACCCTCTGGATTTTCTCTTCCTTGCCTTTTAAGTGGAACCATCATTTCCCCAGTCTTCCAGGTTCAATACTAGGATATCATATTTCCTCCTCTGTCTCCCATTGAGTTTTGTGTCTCTTGACTCCCTTCTTTTTATTGTTGCTATGCCATGTTATTGCAGGCATGCATTATTTTACACCTGGACTTTGGTAATCGCTTATTTTATCTTCCTGCCCCAAACACTCTCCCCACATACATACTACTGTCAGGTTAATCTCCCTCGAATAGCACTTTGTAAACTTTGATAGTTTCCACTGTCTATAGCAGAGCTTTTCA